>NC_000007.14:145670500-145822016 GCF_000001405.40 Homo sapiens | reverse complement strand
TTGAAAAAATGATAATTACTATTGTAAACACATATGAAAGTACAAAACTAATTGGTGCAGGTAAATACATAGTCAAAACAAGAATACTATAATATTGTAATGGTGGTGTATAAATCACACATATTTCTATTATGAAGGTTAAAATTCAAAACGGTCAAAAATTACTAAAACTACAATAAGTTGTTAAGGCATACACAATATAAAATATGTAAATTATGACATCAAAAGCATAAATTATGAGGGGGAGGGTGAAAATCTAAAAATTGTGTGTTCAGCAGAAGTTATCAGTTTAAAATAGTTGATTGTAACTATAAGATATTTAATGTAGGTCTCATGGTAACTACAAAACAAAAAAACTACAGTAGATACACAAATGATAAAGAAGAAGGAATCAAAGCTTAGCACTACAAAAAAAAAATGCCCAATAACAAAGGTAGGCAAGAGAGGACAAAAGAAACAAAGGAGCTACAAAATTCTCATAAAACAAATAACAAAATGGTGGCAGTAAGTCCTATTCATCAATAATAACCTTAGATAGATTAAAAAACTAAATGGATAAAAACGTGATGAATTAAACCTAACCTATTTAACCTAAATACATTAAATTCACCAATCAGAAGACATAGAATGGCTAAATGGATTAAAAAACAAGATTCACCTATAAGCTGCTTACAAGAGGTCTACTTAAGCTTTAAGAGCATACATAGGCTGAAAGTAAAGGTATGGTAGAAGATATCCTATGCAAACAGTAACCAAAAGAGACCAGGGGTCGCTACACTTGTATGTGCTAAAACAGATTTCAAGACAAAAAACTGTCACAAGAGACAAAGGTTAATATTTAATAATGAAGTGGTCAACTAATCAAGAGGAAATAACAATTGTAAACATATCTGCACCCAACATAGGAGCACCTAAATATATAAAGCAAATATTAATGGACATGAAGAGGGAAGTGAATGGCAATACAATAACAGTAGAGGACTTCAATATCCCACTTTCAACAAGAAATAGATTGACTAGGCAAAAAAATTAATGAGGAAAATTTGGACTTGAGTTACACTTTTGACTAAATGGACTGAAAGATATATGCAGAACTTACCATCCAATAGAAGCATAATACACATTTTTCTCTAATGCATATGAAACATTCTCCAAGATAGACCTTGTATATTAGGTCACAAAACAAGTCAGAACTTTGAAGAAGGTTGAAATCATATCTAGTATTATTTTAAACCACAATGGTGTGAAACTAGAAATCAATAATAGAAATTGCGAAAAATGTACAAATATGTGAAATTTAAAGAACATGCTCTTAAATAACAAATGGGTAAAAAAAAATCAAAAGGGATATTAAAAAATATTTTGAGGCAGATGGCAATGGAAACACAATACTTCAAAATCAATTCAACACAGCAAATCAGTTCTAAAATGAAAGTTTAGAGTGACGAATTTGTACCTGAAAAATGAAAAAAAAAATCTCAAATAAATAGTCTAACTTACACCTAAAAAAAGAAGAAAAAGAACAACAAACAGAACCTAAAATTAGCCAAAGGAAGCAAATAATAAAAATAGTAATGGAAATAAATTGTATAGAGAACAGAAAAATCAGAAAGAAGCAATAAAACTGAGTTTGTTTTTTGAAAAAAATTAAAATGACAAACCCTTAGCTAGTCTAAGAAAAAAAGAAAGAGTCCAATAAATAAAATAAAAAATGAAAGTGAGAAAATTATTTATTGATTCATTGCACTGGGAAGAAATAGGCTGAACAGACCAATAAACACAGAGATTGAAAAAAACAACTAAAAACCTCCCAACAAGAAAAGCTCAGAAACAGATGGCTTTACAGCTAATTTCTACCGAACATTTAAGGACAATTGAGGCCAATGCTTCTTAAATTCTTCCAAAAAATAGAGATAGAGGGAACACTTCCAAACATTTTATGAGGCCAGCATCACCTTGATACCTAAGTCAGACACATATCACAAGAAAAGATAACTACAGGCCAATCTCTTTAATGGACATTGACACAAAAATTCTCAAAAAAGTATTATCAAACCAAATCCAAGAACATATCAAGAAGATTATACATCATGATCAAGTGGGATTTATTTTGGCATGCAAGTTTGGTTTAACGTATGCAAATAAATCAATGTTATGCATCACATTAGCAGAATGAAAAGATAAACACTACATGATTATGTCAACTGGCACGGAAAAAGCATTTGAGAAAGTCCAACATTCTTTCTTGAAAAAATCTCTGAGCAGTTTTTGAATAGAAGGAAAGCTTCTTTACAAAACAAGAACATTCCATGCTCATGGGTAGGAAGAATCAATATCGTGAAAATGGCCATACTGCCCAAGGTAATTTATAGATTCAATGCCATCACCATCAAGCTACCAATGACTTTCTTCACAGAATTGGAAAAAACTACTTTAAAGTTCATATGGAACCAAAAAAGAGCCTGTATCACCAAGTCAACCCTAAGCCAAAAGAACAAAGCCGGAGGCATCACGCTACCTGACTTCAAACTATACTACAAGGCTACAGTAACCAAAACAGCACGGTACTTGTATCAAAACAGAGATATAGATCAATGGAACAGAACAGAGCCCTCAGAAATAATGCCGCATATCTACAACCATCTGATCTTTGACAAACCTGACAAAAACAAGCAATGGGGGAAGGATTCCCTATTTAATAAATGGTGCTGGGAAAACTGGCTAGCCATATGTAGAAAGCTGAAACTGGATCCCTTCCTTACACCTTATAAAAAAATTAATTCAGGATGGATTCCAGACTTACATGTTAGGCCTAAAACCATAAAAACCCTAGAAGAAAACCTAGGCAATACCATTCAAGGACATAGGCATGGGCAAGGACTTCATGTCTAAAACACCAAAAGCAATGGCAACAAAAGCCAAAATTGACAAATGAGATCTAATTAAACTAAAGAGCTTCTCCACAGCAAAAGAAACTACCCTCAGAGTGAACAGGCAACCTACAAAATGGGAGAAAATTTTAGCAACCTACTCATCTGACAAAGGGCTAATATCCAGAATCTACAATGAACTCAAACAAATTTACAAGAAAAAGACAAACAACCCCATCAAAAAGTGGGCGAAGGATATGAACAGACACTTCTCAAAAGAAGATATTTATGCAGCCAAATAACACATGAAAAAATGCTCATCATCACTGGCCATCAGAGAAATGCAAATCAAAACCACAATGAGATACCATCTCACACCAGATAGAATGGCGATCATTAAAAAGTCAGGAAACAACACGTGCTGGAGAGGATGTGGACAAACAGGAACAATTTTACAATGTTGGTGGGACTGTAAGCTAGTTCAACCATTGTGGAAGTCAGTGTGGCGATTCCTCAGGGATCTAGAACTAGAAATACCATTTGACCCAGCCATTCCATTACTGGGTATATACCGAAAGGATTATAAATCATCCTGCTATAAAGACACATGCACATGTATGTTTATTGCGGCACTATTCACAACAGCAAAGACTTGGAACCAACCCAAATATCCAACAATGATAGACTGGATTAAGAAAATGTGGCACATATACACCATGGAATACTATGCAGCCATAAAAAATGAAGAGTTCATGTCCTTTGTAGGGACATGGATGAAACTGGAAACCATCATTCTCAGCAAACTATCACAAGGACAAAAAACCAAATACCACCATGTTCTCACTCATAGGTGAGAGTTGAACAATGGGAACACATGGACACAGGAAGGGGAACATCACACTCCGGGGACTGTTCTGGGGTGGGGGGAGGGGGGAGGGATAGCATTAGGAGAGATACCTAATGCTAAATGACGACTTAATAGGTGCAGTACACCAACACGGCACATGTATACATATGTAACAAACCTGCACATTGTGCATATGTACCCTAAAACTTACAGTATAATAATAATAAAATAAAAATTAAAAATTAAAAAAAAACTAGTCAGCCTCTTCTGTGCCAGCAGGGGCCGACTCCACTCGCTAGGGTCCTGCTGCATTGCACCCCTTGCAAGAGGGGGATCACAAGTACAGGACCTGGGGCGAACACTTTTGGTTGCCAGCAGGAGCAAAATTCTGTGCAGCCCCGCAGCAGCCTGTAGGGGGGTGCCTGCAACCACCGAAGCCCCAGAAAAAGTGTTACAGTAAGTGCTCTTTTAGCTTTGCCACCCGTGGATGACTTAAGTGTTAACAGCTCAGTGGAGGGTCAGTGTGACAGCCTTTTGCACCTGCACTGGAGTTCTTGACCAGCACTCGGTAGGAATGAGGTCACACGAACAAATTAGAGATGGTAAATGTAGGGATTTTATTGCCATCGAAAGTGATTCTCAGTGGGAAGGGGAGCTGAAAAGGGGATGGAGTAGGAAAATAACATTTCCCCAGAGTCTAACCATCTACTGCCTGACTCCTCTTGGAAGCAAGTGGTCAAGCTGTTTCTCTGAAGTAAAGCTGCTTCTCTCCAGCCTCCAACCAACCATAGTCTCTAATGTCCCACTTCTTCTCCTCTTCTCCTCTCTCTCCCAGTGGAGCCTGGGGCTTTCATGGTTTTAGAAAAGGCAACATTCGAGCAGGAAAACAGGAATGCATGTTCTCCTTTTGGGCCACGGTTCCAGGCTTGAGGGTGAGGCACTCACTAGGGACTCACCCTCTTCTGCCCAGAATTTCCTTGCCTCCTGTCCCTATCAGTTCCATAGAAGAAATTCAGTTAACCCACTAAGAACTCAGATAAAAAACACTTCCCAATTGGTTTGAAAGAAGGAGTTTGAATGCTTACATTTCTTTCATCTTGCCTTATAATCTCCCTATGTCTTTCTATAGATGAAGTTGTCATACTGATTCAGGAGTAGTGAGTGACCTACGCTGGTACAAAATGTGAATGATTGTTACGGCCCTTATAAACTCATGTTGAAGTATCGCCATTGGGAATGGGATTCAGATATTGCAACATCTAATCTTAAATTACAAAATGAATACAATACAAGCAGTAGTATCTCTTAATATAATTTACACTATATTGACATCTGTTTACGTGACACAACTAGTAAAATGAAGTGTTCAAATGAAAACAAAAAAGCACCCAGTAATGAGCTAATCTAGTATCATTAGCTAGATACTAGATTAAGAATCTAGCTAATTAATCTAGATTAAGAAGAAAGTTCATCACAAATTCCTTCTGTTAGTGAGATGCTTTATGTCAGTCTTTTCTACAGATCATATTCAAGACCCTCTTCAAGGACAAATGGCAACACCAGGTAGAACTGATAATACCTTGTGTTCAAAATTCCATCTCTGAATTTGCATATTAAAATCATAAATAGAAAAACTATACAATATTAATACACTAGAATCACGTGGTATACCATTATTATAACATTTTTAAAATTATTTTACTATTTTTAAAATCTCCTATTTTATTGATTTTAAGTATTTTTCTACATCTATTTTTCTTTCTTCCTTCATCCTTCCTTTCTTTTCTTTTTATCCCAGTACTCTATTACTCGACCTTCTTTATTTTTTTCTTATTTATTTATCCTTCTTGATGGACTAACACAGTAGCCAGTAATGACACGATTATTGTAATTAAAATTGATATTTGTTCAAATTAAGTAAAATTTAAAATACACCTCCTCAGTTGCCCTAACTGCACTTCAAGTGCTCAATAGCCACACATAGGTGAAGCCTATCTGAATGGGTAATAGAAATGTAGGACATTTCCATTAATGTAGAAGTTCTACTGGACAGTACTTGAAGCCTATCTATATAAAATATTCCTGGAATAACTTGAAATACCAGACTTGAGAGACCAGAAAGAGAAGAAAACTAATGTATCATATCAACAGAATACAAGGACCATCATGAAAGAGATACTACTATCCACAGTCAGGATGTTTTCAACATTAATGTATATAAATCCATAATAACATGAAAAAAGTACAAAAATTTACCTCATTTGTAGCAAAAGGAAGTAGTTATCTAACGAACTTCTTATTCTAAAAGCATTTTACTACATTTAGAGAATCAAGTTTTAGCTC
The DNA here is from genome assembly GCF_000001405.40 of Homo sapiens. Taxonomy (NCBI): domain Eukaryota; kingdom Metazoa; phylum Chordata; class Mammalia; order Primates; family Hominidae; genus Homo; species Homo sapiens. Next base: position 145,815,956 of record NC_000007.14, on the reverse strand, counting down.
CACATTTCAAATTAGACGTATATTTTCAATTTGTCCATATAGTGTTTTGATTCATGAAAGCTCTTCTTTATAGAATAATGCTAGCTGATTAATATAGAAGAAATTATAAAATTAGAAAATTGTTACTAAGACAATAAAAATCGATGGGTGCCAAAATTATTAGATGAAAGTTTATGTGAAACTGAGTACATACATAGTGCCAAAATATTAGATGAAAAAATCACATATGATTTGAAAGGAGGACATGGAAGCTTGCAATAAAAAAACTCCACCTGTTAATACTTTAAGTGATCGTAACATCATTAATAGAGGGGCATTCAGACATTGCATGTCTTCTGCTGCATTTGAATAACAAAATACACAATGCAACTTAGGGAGTATTCTTGTTAAAATATCCAGTCCAAATCTCTTTGATCATTTCAATCTAACTCCCATTTTAAATAAGCAGTGAAAGTATTTACCACATGAATTATATCCCACAAAAAAAAACACATCTAAAAGTTTTGACTTAAAAAAAATTGACCTTTTTTTTTTAAATACTTAATGCATTTAAACAATAACATAAAAATGTTCCCAGGGATTGGCATAGGTTAAGAGACATGTAACTTATCAAAAACCAAGTCAACATTCAGAACTTACATTTACATTAATCTGATATGATTTAGTTTTAAGAAACCAGCATTAAATATTGTCTTTGAGATAACTTTGAATATGGACCTAATACTAGATCAAGTTTTAAAAATATGGTTAATATTTGTTGTTCAAATGACACTTTGGTTCAGGGGATGAAGCATAATAATGTAGTTTGTCTGAAAATGACATTGAACTCTTTCTCTACTTGGCTAGATCAAGAGCAAGCTAGAATCAGTGATCCCCACTTCTTTGCAAACTGAAAATATTATGGGATTGATTGTCGTCTTCTCTCTGTGCCTCTACACTAGATATTTGGAATTTTCAGAAAACTCTAATAGTAATGTACAGTGACATCTAAGTGCAAACTTGTTGGTGCCTCAATAGTTTTACCTTTACTGACAAGGCTGCTGTCAAGGCTTGCCCTTACAAACAGAATGGACTCTTCAAAACGCACATATACGCCAGGTGTTCTTTATAGCACTCTGCCCACTGCAAGATTCTCTGTAACAATGGGAGAATAACAGGAACTGTGGCTCTCTTCTTAACAAAACACTGACTTTTTTTTTTTTAACTTTAAGTTCTGGGATACATGTGCAGAATGTGCAGGTTTGTTACGTAGGTATACATGCGTCATGGTGGTTTGCTGCACCTATCAACACATGATCTGTGTCCATGTGTTCTCATTGTTCAGCCGGGTCTCCCTGGAGACCCATCATCATTGCTTTCAGTAGGAAAATATATTTAGATACCACATTTTGGAATGCAAATTGTGCTTCCTTCCTGGCTACTCTTCTGTTAACATAGGATATTTAAGATGTATTAAGTAGTTTAATTTACGGAATGTTTGAAATGGCTTTAGTTTTCAAGTTGAAGCTCAAATGTTCCCTGCATTATGATTATAAAGGAACTTACCTGTTTTCTTCTAGTGCATTTAGGTATAAAATGTATTTGAAATTTATCTTTGATGTGTGAGGCATAAATTTAGTTTGATCTTTTTGAAAATAAATATCTGACAATCAACATGATTTAGTAAAATGTTCATCTTATCCTATCAATGTAATAAGCTGATTTTTTTAAGACACTTAGATCATATCTTTCATAAATGACACACAACCTATATTTTAAGAATAAATAATTTGAATATTTCAGAAAACATTAATTGCATGCCTACAGACTTTATAATTTAATACAATTTATAACATCTGGGGGATTCTGAAAGTTATATTTCTGATTTTGTGATTGTAAACTAATCTGGTAAAAAGGAAATGTGACATACTCAATGAAAAAGGACTGATCTTATTTGTTACTGGATTATAGAGAAATATGAGATAACAAAATCTTTTAATAGGTATGTGCCTATAACATGACCTATTAAGAATGACAATAACATGAGAGATTCCCTTTTCTTGAAACAAATAATGCAAAAAAAAAAAAGCCAAAAAATTTAGTGAAAAAGTGACAGTACAAGAAAACTACTGTGCATTGCTTGCATATACTCTGATGGAAAACTAACATTATGAAGAGGAAACAGCAAGTTCCAATAAACGGGAAAGTATGAAAAACACATCTAGCCATTTCAAAGTAAGTAAAAGTCCCAGACCAAAGGATGTGTAGTCTTTACAACATTAAATAATTTGTATGTATGCTATCACAGAGGATGTTGCAGAATTGACTTCATACACTATCATTAAGGAAGATAGCATGGGAGAGGTAATTAAGTATCGAAGAAGAGCTTGCCCTGAATCTATATATAAGATAATCTGGCTCTTATTTATATAAGGAGTCAAGACAGGCAAGAATTAATTCAGTTACCTCACTTGCAGAAGCTACATAATTAAGGTGGGTTTGCTATGCATGAGCAAGTCCACATTGATTTTTTAATTTTCATAACATGAAAATGAATCACTTCTTTTTAGAGAAGTAAACCTCTAAAATGGGCTATCTGGGGTGCCAAACCATACATAATGAAACATTAAAATTGAGAAGTACAATAAGGCTAGAAAACTGATTCATTAAAGAGCTTACAACTTTCATCAAACGACAAAATGAGGGAAAAAATTACTGTATATGGGTCAGTAATTTAACAATGATTTAACCAAAAAGGCTACAAAACTCAATAGTATCCAATATTTTATTACCTAAAATAAACAGTATGCTTTATACCATAACTTAATTGAAGGTTTAAAGAGAAAAACATGCAAAAATAAAGGGAAAGTAATCATAAGTTCATAAAACTTAGAAAAGTTGACTTCCAGATTCTATATAAGGCAATTTCTATTTCAAATCTGAATGTGTGTTTATGGAAGAAGAACTTTTTTTCTTTAGAAAAGTAGAGCTAAAATCCATTTATTTCAGACATTGCAAGAGTAGAAATTCTACATCAGTAATTTTAGCTTCAATAAAAGATCTAGGGATTTCATCTGATAAACTCCTAAGCTAACTGTTTTCTCTGTGCCCTTCTGCTTCTCTGTTTTCACAAAGCTAAGTATGAAGACAGGCCAAATATGCCACATTTCTTCTAGTATTTTTCCAGGTCATGACTGACTACTTCCTTGCTCTCAATTTCCAATAAGATCTCAAGCTTGAAGAGAAACAAAATTAACTTCTATAAAAGGATTCTCCCTTCAGTAAATGAAGAAAACAAAACGTGTGTAATATGCTGCATTACAAGTGATGAGATGTGATAAGATGTCAAAGTATTTTTTACCTTTAAAGTGATGGAGCATTGTAAACAAATATAATGGCATTGTATACAAATATAATGTTTTATTATGGATAGAAAGAGTAGGAAGTTTGTTGTTGTTGTTGCTCTTTCAGGTTTTGTTGTTGTCATTGCTGTTTTTTGGTGAGACAAGATCTTGCTCTGTCATCCAATCTGGAGTGCAGTGGTATGATCTCTTCTCACTGCATCTTCCACCTCTCTGGCTCAAGCAATCCTCCTATCTCAGCCTTGTGAACAGCTGGAACCACTGGTGTGCAACACCATGCCTGTTTTGCCTATTTTTAAAATTAGGTTACTATATTTTTTCCTATAGAGATGTTTGAGCTCCTTATGTATTCTGGTTATTAATTCCTTGTCAGAAGGGGAGTTTGTAAATATTTTCTCCCATTCTGTAGGTTGTCTCTTCACTTTGTTGATTGTTCTCTTGCTGTGCAGCTTTTTAACTTGATGTGATCTCATTTGTCCATTTTCGCTTTGGTTGTCTGTGTTCGTGGGGTATTACTCAAGGAATTTTTGCCAAGTCCAATGTCCTGGAGAGTTTCCCCAATATTTTCTTTTAGTAGTTTCATAGTGGGAGGTCTTAGATTTAAGTCTTTAATCCATTTGCATTTGTTTTTTGCATATGGAAAGAGATAGGGTCAAGTTTCTTTCTTCTGCATATGGATATCCAGTTTTTTCCAGCATCATTCATTGAAGAGACTGTCTTGGCAACCTTTGTGAAAAATTAATTCACTGTAGATGTATGGATTTATCTCTGGATTTTTTATTCTGTTCCACTGACTTGAGGGTCTGTTTTTATGCCAGTACCAGGATGTTTTGATTACTATAGCTCTGTAGTATAATTTAATGTCAGGTAACATGATTCCACCAGTTTTGTTCTTTCTGCTTAGGATAGCTTTGGCTACTCTGGGTCTTTTGTAGTTCTAGATAAATTTTAGGATTGTTTTTCTATCTCTATGAAGAATGTCTTTGGTATTTTGATAGAGGTTACATGAAATCTATAGATTGCTTTGGGTAGTATGGACATTTTAACAATATTGCTTCTTCTAACACATGAACTTTATGTGTCTTTTTCAATGTCTTGTATCAATGTGTTATAGTTTTCATTGTAGACATTTTTAATTTCTTTGGCCAAGTTTATTCCTGGGTATTTTATTTTATTTATGGCTATTGAAAATGGGATTAATTCCTTGATTTCTTTTTCAGATTGTTCTCTGCTGACATATAGAAGAGCTTCACCACATGGCTACCATCATAATCAGCTCACAAGGAGTACTCCCAGGCTACCCACTGATGTTCACTTAAGGCTCTAACCTCTTAAGTAAGCTTGTGGTGAGTGCTGCATGGCCTAGGACTCACCCTTCGGGGAAGTGGGATCCCCTCTGGCCCAGGGCAGGTCTAGAAATGCCATCTGAGAGCCAAAGCCTGGAATAAGGCACTCCAAGAGCCCACTTGGTGTTCTAACACATGGTGGCTGAGCTGGTACCTAAGCATGCAAGACAAACTCCCCTTTACTGTTTCCTCTGCTTATCTCAAGCAGAAGGAGTCTCTCCCCATAGCTGCCACAGTTGGCACTGTGTTGCATTTCACCTGAAGCCAGCTAGTCTCAGGGTCTCACCCAAGGCCAACAGTGTACGACCTGGGTATTGCTGCTGGTTATTTGGGGTCCAAGGGCTCATCACTCAGCAGGTGTTGGCTCCTGCCAAGGATGGATCCTTCCCTTCAAGATAGCAAGTTCCATCCTGGCCCAGTGTGTGTCAAGAAATGTCATCTGGGAACTAGGACCTGGAAAGGGGGCCTTATGTGTCTGACTAGTGCCCTGTCCTACTGTGACTGACCTAGTATCAAAGATGCAACACAAAGACCTCTTTACTCTTTCATCTCCCCTTCTCTCCTTCAGGGTAGAGAAGGGGTCTCTTTTAGAGTCCCAAGCCATGCTGCCTGGGTTTGGGTGAGGGGTGGCGCAAGCACTTACTTAGCTGCCTGGGCTGGTGTCTCAGTAAGTCTTGTGCCTTCCTCAAGTCCACTGGCTCTGAGCCCAGGTCAGAACTAGGACTCACCTAGGAGTGTCAGTATTTGTGGCCTAGACTGCATTTCAAGTTTATTTAAGGCCCCAGAATACATTAGCCCTGATGGTCGCAAGGCTTGCCAGAATTTGCATCAGCTGAGTTTAGCCTGGTTTTGCTTTCTGCTGTGACAGAGCAGCACTGAGTTCAATGCCATGTCTCAGAATTTCTGTGTTCTCCCTCTCCTGGGTGCACAGATTCTCCATGCTGTGAGGCTGATGCCAGGGAATGGGCAAGGGGTGGCAATAGCCATTTCTACCATCTGTAATGCCTCTTTCAGCATTATGAATTCAAAACCAGGTCAGGTGAGTGTTCACCTAACTTTTGGCTCTTATGAAGGTGCCAGTTTTGTGTAAATAGCTGTTAAATTGGTGTCCTTGGAAAGGGGATGATCTGTAGAGCCTTCTATTTGGTCATCTTGCTCTGCCTCTCTTTTTCAACATATTTTCTTGTTATTCATTGCACAATTTTGATTAAAATATTATATTCTTTCTTAACCTCAGAAAAGACTTAGACTATGCCTTTTACTGCTCTTGTGCCACTTGTTTATTCTCTGCAGTCTTTAAGAATATCAATATTATTATGCAGGATCTCTTTCTTTTGCCCTCCTCTCTTTCCTCTGTCATTCATGTTGTTTCACACAACACACATATTCACACACATTTCTGAAAACATTTTTTCTTTTTTTTCTGATAAAATCTCTCAAGTTCTGCTGTTAGACATTGGTTTAATCTTTTCCAATAATATTATCAGCATTCATTTTGTTTTTTAATGAAAGTTTAAATTTTGCTGTTTCATTTGAATTCTTCCTAAAATATTGTTCTTGTCTTGTCCAAAAACTTTTTATAACATCCATTTCCTTTTTAATTGCATCCACATTTCTTTTGAAAGTATCTTGAATTTCTCATTATAAAGAATCTATATTTTAATAATTAATAAACTTATTGAAATAACTAAGTACATACTTTCTAAATTTCAGTTTAATGGTATATTTCAAAACTGCATATTTTCTCCGAATCTTTAATTCTATAGTCTCCTTGTATAGTGCAGAAGTCTGTAATTATTTCAACAGTGGGAGCTAGATTCCTCTTGAGCACTAATTGACTGACTGGATCTTTTACATTTCTTTTATCAGTGTTATAAATAATTTATCACTATTTTAATATTAGTGGAATATTTAGCTGCCATTATCTATTGATACTATAAAGTAGCAGGTTATATTTTAGAGGAATTTTAAAGCAATTTTAGTAATTATTTTGCCAAAACAGTGCATGGGTGCCAAACATCCCAAAGATCAACTGTTTTTTGTTATTGTTGTTTTGAGTTTTAGTTCTATGATGGCGAGATTCCTACTACTTACACATTACTATTCATGACAAGGGATTGAAGGAGACGTTTAAATTAACATTACGGAAAATAGAAATGGTGCAGGTTAATTTCAAAAATATTTTCCATGTCAGTTGTCATTCTGTTCTGCAATAAACATATACATGTAAAGTCTATGCATGTAGGGCAGAATGAGAAGGCATTTTCAGTTGCCCTTTTTCTGCCTCTAGTGCTTAGCTTCAGATTTCCTTCCATGTATTCATGTATAAAAGTTGTGTTTGCTATCTGTCAGATCACTGGAGTATTTGTCATTTACAGTGACTTGGTATTTTGTGTCTGTCATGCATTTTAATGTGACTATTAATGTGGGATGTGGGGGAAGAAGTGTGACTTACTTATTATTGTTTACAAGGCCAAGTTTATCAAGAACCACTATATATATATGTATATATAATTTATATAGATATATAACATAATTTATATATGTGAAATATAATGCTCAAATAAAAAAGCACACATAGCAAAATTGTACAGCTCTAATTTTAAAAAAACACATTCCTATAGCCATTACACTAATGACAATGTAAAACAATGTCAATGTCAAAATTCTAGAAGCCTTTTTTTTTTTTAGCATTCCTCACTCTGCACTCCCTCATCTCATCAGGTGACCACTTTCTTAACTTTTTGATAATCACATCCTTGTTTTTTTTAGAGTTTTGTTGCTTTATGCATTTTTCTAAGTTTATGTTTTCCTGCACTTAAAAGTCTATATAAATAGAACCATTCATTACATATTATTTTTATGTCCAATTTATTTTTATTACAATTACATACTTAAAAATGTGTCTATGTTATATATAGTTGTAGTTTATTCTCATTGTACAGTATTCCATTTTGTGATTATAACAAAATTTATTTTCCTATTTTTGTACTGAATGAACTTTTAGGTTGTTCCTAGATTTCGGCTATTATGTATACTCAGGCCATGAATATTTTTGCTTGTCTTTAATACAGATGTACGTATTTTTAGGGGGCATATATCTAAAAGTAAGATGAATGAGTTAAAATATATTTATCTTCAAATTTATTAAAAAATTTCCAAAGTTGTAGAAATTCTTATTTCTGGTATAGTATATGAGAATCCTGACTCTTCTAAGCTTTTATAATAAGTTAGATGAACATTTATTTATATTTTTGGCCATTTAAGTGTCATCTTTTTAAATGTATGCTCAAGTGTATTTCAATTTTATTGAATTATTAATGATATTATTGAAATAATGTCTACCATCTTTCTCATATTTTATTCTTTCTGTTTCTGTTCCTTTTATACTATCTGTTTTATATTATTTTTAACCAAATTATCACCAACATTGACTCATTATTTATATCTCTTAAAAATTAATGATTACCTTGGGGTTCATGATATTGATTTTAATTATTCATGTCTACATTAAAATAAAATTGAACTACTTAACATGCTGAATGTAGGAGTCTTTGTTTACAGGGTTCTTTTTCCCTGTTAGGATTTTAATGATGTCACTTTATTTTTTTATATACATAGTTTCCAAATAGAACTAACAGTTACGTTGAGCAAGATCACTGACTACAAATTTAGTTTACAGAAAACAATTTTGTTTCCATAGAGTAGCAATGACCAGTTGGAAATTAAAAGTTTTAAATGTCCACACATGCAATTATGTATAAATCTAACAAATCTACCAAAATATGTTTCCTACTATCAAGACTGATTCCTGGAAACAATAAAATACTGATCACGGAAATGAAACCAAAAAAGGGAATATGCCAGTTTCATAGATCTGAAGACTCTACTTGTAAGACATCAATTTTTCTAAAATAAGTCTACAGAATAAACACAATCTGAATCAAAATGCCAGCATCTAACATTTTGTTTGATTGCTTCTGTAAAAATCAATGAATGAATACTAAAATGTATATAGAAAGCAATGAAACAAGAATAGCAAAAACAGTTTTGTAAAAAAGGTACAGTTAGAAAATGCACATTTTATTATTTTAAGATTTACTATAGTAAATCGGTCTTGTTAGCAATGGATCTTGTTAGCAGTAAACATATTTTAGTAGATTTGTTATATTTCTATACAATTGCATGTGTGGACATTTAAAACTTGTAATTTCCAAATGGTCATTGCTACTATATAGAAACACTATTGTTTTCTGTAAATTAACTTTGTAGCCAGTGATCTTGCTCAACATAACTGTTAGTTCTACTTGGAAACTTCAAAAAACTTCAAAGAACAATGAAGTGATATCATTAAAATCCTGACAAGGACAAAGAATCCTGTAAACAAACACTTCCAATTATACTAATCAGCATAGTGTGGTATTTGTAAAGTATGGACACAAAAATCAATGAAACAGGATAGCACCCAGAAATAAACCTATACACATATGGTCAGTTGATTTTCTACAAACTTCAAAGGTAATTTAATGGACAAAGAGGAATTTTATCAACAAATGCTGCTGAAGCAATTGGATATTCATGTGAATAAAAAAAAAAACCTTAATCTATTCTTTTCATTTTAGGCAAAAATTAACTTAAAATGGATTAAGCCTTAAATGCATAACATAAATTAGGAAATTCTTAAAATTTCTAGAAGAAAAATAGTGAAAAACTCTTGGTGGTAGGCAAATGTTTCTTAGGTATAGGTATGATAAAAAAGCATGATTCATTAAATAATTACGTTGTATGTCATAAAATTTAAAAATTTCTGCTCTTCTTAAAATAAAGGCATTTAAGGAAAGGAAAAACAACATCCGCAAACTGGAAGTAAATACATGTGAAACACTTAGACAAAAGATTTGTATCTAGAATATATAACACCAACGACAACAGCAAACTCAGTTTAAAAATGGACAAGAGTTGAACAGAGATTTCACAAAATAGGATGTATGAATAGCAAATAACCATATTAAAAAACATGAGTTTTCATTTTACTTTAAAAATACCTAAAAGTGGATTGTTGTATGCCATAGTAAGTTATGTCTAACTTTATAAGAAACCACTAAACTATTATCTGGAATAGCTTTATAATTTTGCATTTCTACCAAGAATGTATTAGATTTCCAGTTACTTCACATTCTTGACAACCCTTGCCAAGCTATGGTCTGTTAAGTTTACAAAACAAGCTATATATTAATATCTATAGTAGCTTGGTAAAGGGCAATTATTGAGACAACTCTAATATACCTAAGCTAAGTAAAGATTAAACACACTGTAACACATGTGTACCATGGACTACTACTAAGCAATTTTGAAAGGACAAATTTCTGACATGTTCAACAACATGGAGAATTCTCAAATTATTTATGCTAAGTGAAAAAAGACCTACCCAGAAGGCTACATACTCTGTGATTCCATTTGTATGGCTTTCTAGAAAAGGGAAAGCAATAAGAACAGGAACCAGATCAGTTACTGCCCAGGGCTAGACTGTTAGAAAGAAAGCGACCATCACAGCATATTCTCACTCGCAGGTGGGAACTGAACAATGAGAACACATGGACACAGGAAGGGGAACATCACATTCCGGGGGGAGGGGGAAGGGATAGCTTTAGGAGATATATCTAATGCTAAATGACAAGTTAATGGGTGCAGCACACCAGCATGGCACATGTAAACATATGTAACTAACCTGCACATTGTGCACATGTACCCTAAAACTTAAAGTATAATAATAATAAAATAAAATAAAGTGATCAAAACAAAACAAAAACAAACAAAAATAACACACACACAAAAAACCCCACAATAAACAAAAATCCAACCAAACAAAAAGGCACCAAGAAACTTCAAGAATTGATCTAACTGTTCTATATCGTGATTGTAGTGGTTTCACACACTTTATGTGTTTGTCAAAACTCACTGAATTGTATTAAAAACAGCAAATATCATTGTTGGAAAATGCTTCAATAGACCTGAACTAATAGATAAATAGAAGGAAATAAAAGAAAACATCATAGGGCACCAAGTAAAAACAAGGTTCATATATATAATATAGATGGTGGTCTTGGTTGTAAAATGGTGAAACATCTTCATAGTCAGAATAAATAGGCTTGAAAACTTTCTTGTGTCAACTGGTTCATCACAAATATCATTTAAAAGTATCTTTTATGGCTGGGTGCAGTGGCTCAAACCTAAAATCCCACTTTGGGAGGCTAAGGCAAAAGACCAGCCTGGGCAATGCAGTGAGACATTGTCTCTACAAACAACAACAGAAGGAGAAGGAGAAGTAGAAGAGAAAAGAAAAGAAAAGAAAAAAATAGCCAGGCATGGTGGCACATGCCTGTAGTCTCAGCTACTCAGGAGGCTAGGGGAGAAGATCTCTTGAACCTAGGAGGTTGAGGCTGCAGTGAGACCTAATAGCACCACTGCACTCCAGTCTGAGTGACAGACCAAGACCCTGTATCAAAGAAATAAAATAAAAATCAAATGAAGGCAGGGCGCAGTGGCTCACGCCTGTAATCCCAACACTTTGGGAGACTGAGGTGGGGGCAGATCATGAGGTCAGGAGTTCGAGACCAGCCTGGCCAACACGGTGAAAGCCCATCTCTACTAAAAATACAAAAATTAGCTGGGCATGGTGGCACATGCCTGTAGTCTCAGCTACTCAGGAGGCTAGGGGAGAAGATCTCTTGAACCTAGGAGGTTGAGGCTGCAGTGAGACCTAATAGCACCACTGCACTCCAGTCTGAGTGACAGACCAAGACCCTGTATCAAAGAAATAAAATAAAAATCAAATGAAGGCAGGGCGCAGTGGCTCACGCCTGTAATCCCAACACTTTGGGAGACTGAGGTGGGGGCAGATCATGAGGTCAGGAGTTCGAGACCAGCCTGGCCAACACGGTGAAAGCCCATCTCTACTAAAAATACAAAAATTAGCTGGGCATGGTGGCACGTGCCAGTAATCCCAGCTACTGGGGAGGCTGAGGCAAGAGAATTGCTTGAACTCAGGAAGCAGAGGTTGCAATGCGCCGAGATCAAACCACTGCACTCAGCCTGGGCGACAGAGCAGGACTCTGTCTCAAAAAAAAAAAAAAATAATAATTGTAATAAAAATACTCTTTACCAAATAAATATAAAACAAAATATATTTCAATAAATCATTATTTCTGTTTTTGCTCCAAATACTATACCAACTTGCATTTTTAGACAAGAGATACACATAAACACATTCATTTACATATAATTCTTCTGTTGCCAAAGGCATGCATGGAAAAATATCCTATTTCAACATGTTTTTCTGAGTATTATCTGCAAGTCCATGAACCAGAAATTATCCCATGGAAAAAAAATACAAAAAAATTAAAAAATAAAGATGTAGTCTTAGTTATATAACCTTTTAAATTATAGCAATGCTTTGCATTTTGTCATATAATGACCTAAATGCATTCACAGTTTTTTCTATAAGTGTATATAATTTTTATATTGTTGTTTATATATATGGGAATGGTCAGAAATATTTTGGTTTACTTATTTCATGTTTATTGGCTTCATTTTTAGAAAAACTTTTTTTCTGCATAAATTCTGGATAAATGAAGCTATCTCATCTTTGATAAGCTATGTCAGCCATTTCTGCTGAAACCATCTGCATCTAATTTCTAAAGGAAAAACTGCATAGAAGCAATAAAATCAAACAAGGTGATAACCCAAAAATAATTCTTTCAGAATGATTAGAGATTTCCCCTCTTTTGCCATTTCCATTTTAACTTGATCATATGACCTTCTCTTTTGGTAATATAATAATTCAGAATTAATCTCTACAAGCTTTCATGAATAATTTAGTTAGTGATGGTAGAAAGGAATGCAATTAATTTCTGGGGTAAATTCCAGATCATCATAAAAACCTGGAAGGGGACCATTTGTATATTTAATTAATAAATGGTAACATGTACACAATTTTTTTCTACTCAAATTAGCACTGTGATACTGATAATTGCTCAATATGAAATTCTCACCAAGTGCAATTACAGGGAAATCCTCAGGATGAAAATTGAGTATAAGAAACACCAGCAATGTTTTTGAAGGAAGTCAATGGAAATAACATCAACCACAAATTAGGATGAGATATGTTTTCACACGGTTCTTATAGATCCTTTGTTGAAAATATCCAGAATCAAATATGTATTTACATACCTTGATACAATTAAATTCATTTTAATGAAGCCAATGAAGTACTACAAAATTTGTTCTGATTTTTTTTTTTTTTTTTTTTTTTGCTTTCTGGTGCATATTATTTTCAGGTACTAAGTTCTAAGAAATCAAGAGATAGGCTGTTTTGTTGCTTTTGTAATATTTTTGGTTTAACTTGTAACTCAGCACCATAATTTATAAGATGATGATATTAGTATATTTTATTTATTTTAACTTACATTATTGACTGGTCCATGTATATCCAAAACTGTGTGCATTTTAATGATGGTGTGTATATGTACTGTCAACTGGACTTGGGTGTCTCTGCCTGAAACTTCATCATTTTGGATCAATGAGCTGTATTCGACCCCTTTCCATTTCTTTTAGGACATTATTTTACTATTATTCCCTCCTAGATCTTCATATACTTGTCTCTATGACTTCATTCTCCTGATTTAAAAGATACCCAGTTATCTCATTATCAGCTACACATTCATCCTTTCAGAACTTTTCATGGAAACACACACACACACACACACACACATCCATTCTTCATTCATTCATTTAACAAATACTAATTAAGGATCTACTATGTATCGTGAACTGTCCTGAGTGCTGGAGTCACATTATAAAAAAAAAAGACAAACATCTCTGCCCAATGTATCTGTCCTTCCAGTTGATGGAAAGAGATAATAAAATTAATAAGTTAAAGATATTTTAATAGGTGATAAGTGTTTTCAAAAACCAAAAGTATGAGAGAAGTATAGAAATATTTGTGCATGAGAGAAAGGTGGTTTGCAATTTTAACTATGGTAACAAGCGTAGGGTCCATAAGAAAAGTGACATTTGTAAAAATATTTGAAGAAGGTCAAATAACCTTCTTCATATAACCTATTATATATAACCATATTAACCTATTAACCTCAAATAACCATTAGGGTAATTGAGGGCAGAACATTTTAGGAAGAGGGAACATTTTGGCCAGATTAGAGTGAATAAGAGGAAGTAGACAGGAAAGGAGGTTAGACAGGTCACAGAAATCTGGTGGGCATTTGCAAGCTATTATAAGGTATTTGTATTTTCTGAGGGTGGTAAAAAGTCAGTGAGGTATTTTGGACAGAGGAATGGCATGATGAGACAAGTTTTGAAGCGTCACTTTATATGCTACAGGAAACAGATTTCAGATGGGGAAGTGCAAAAGCACAGAGATACGTTAGGGAACACTTGTGCTAATGTAGGCAGGAGAAATATTGTCCTTGACCAAGGTGGTAACAGGAGTTGCAGAAAACTGGTCAGATTCTGGATACACTTTGAAGGTAGAGAAGACAGTATTGTATGTGGTGTATAAAAGAAATAAAAAAAAAAAGATGTCTTCAAAGTTTTAGGTGTGAACAGTTGGAAGCATTGAGTAGCCAGAAACCAGAAAAGGAAGAGGGGTATGGTGATTCTGTTGGTGGGAGGAATTCAGGAGTTCAGTTTTGGATATGTTATCTCCAAGTGGAGATATCATACAGGCAGCAGGGTGTGTGAATCCAGGTTTCAAAAAGAGAGTTTAAGTTTCGCAGACTTCAAATTTTTCCCCGCCTCTGGGTACCTCTTACACAAAGATGTTGACTTTTGATGGTATTCAAAGCCAAGAATAAGATAAGTTGACTGGGAAAGAGAGTGTAGATAGTAAAGAGTAGAAGACTAAGGTTTAAGAACTGGGGCACTTCCATATCATCTGGTCATGGAAGCAAGAAGTAAGCAAAGAAAACTTCATATATTACAATTTCTATCTAACTGAGTTTTCTCAGAAAGAAGATTCAGGCAGAAGAAGCTTACTAGAAAGATAAAGGAAATAATGGTGGTAAAGTGGGAAAGTAATACAGGGAAAACAGAGTAACCAATAATTATGCTATTTAATTACCTGCCATAAATCCGGAAATCTTTTAAAATATTTGACTCATAATTATCCCACGTCAAAAATGCACCTTGAATTCTGTGCAGTAAAAGTAAATCCACATCTATACATTTGATAATGAAGCTGAAATAATCAAGAGCAAATACAATCTTAAAAGCTTTCAGATAACTAAAAGACAGGGATAATGATTAGATTAGTGTCAGACACTTACACTGAAAAGTATATGAAGATAACAGAAGACAGAGTATCTTCAAAATAGTGAAGAAAAGTTATGCTGCTTGAAATTTTATATCCAGCAAAATATCATACAAGATTGTGAGTGAAATATAGTTTTTATACAAATATGAGAAAACGGTTTATAAGTAAACACCTACTGAAAAAAACTATTAATGGAAAGGCATCAGCTTTAAAACAGAAAAACCCAGAAGAATTTATGGCATATTTAAAACAACAATGACCACAGCCAAAAATTTAGAAAATGGTTAAAATTTAAAAAGAAATTTATTAATATGGAGAAAACAATAAAACAAAATGATAAACTGTCACCCTGACAAGATTGTAGTTGTTCTCACTGCACAGATAAAGCCTGAAGTCACATCATCATAGGAAAAGGAGAGACGTGTTGGTGCTTTATATTGATCATGTTTTATATGGTGTATGTTAAACATGTTCTTAATTTTAAAGAAAGATAATGCACTTTTCAGATTTCAGATGTTTCTTTAGGTGCCTATTTGTTTTTTCTTTTTACAAGTTTAGCTACAAATTTATATTTTTTAAGGTAATTGTCACAATATTTTATGTACTTTTTGTAGGATATTCATAATATATAGAATACAATGTTAAAAAAGTTTGCTTTTGACATTTTTCAAACCTGAGCACCCAATATTATACATTAATATTTTATTATCCATGACAATTTAGATGTACTAATACGTTTGCTAATTTCTTTCTTTATCAATGCATCTAGTTTTCCTGCCCATTTTAATTTATTTTTAATGCATCTATTAAAACATGTATCCTGTGTGTAGGGTTAGGTTGTCTGGGTCTATCTCTCTAGCTTGATTTATGCTTTTGAGGACAATTGCTTGCCTAAGATCCAGAAAAGTTTCTAGCACTTGGCAAAAAAATCTATCAAATATATATATTATTTTTAATTAATATATAATAATTGTACATATTTATGGGATACATATAGGTGTTTCTATACAAATAATGTATAGTAATCAGATCAGTGTGATTAGTACACCCATCATCTCAAACATTTATCATTTCTTTGTGCTGGGGAACATTCCATATCCTCATTCTTGCTATGTGAAACCATATAATATATTACTGTTAACTACAGTCACCCTACAGTGGGATAGAACACTATAGTTTATTCCTCCACTCTAATTCTGAGTACATCTTCATGACTTTTTTACTAAAATTTTGTGCAGTACTTTGAATATATTACTTCATGGCTTTTTGGCATCTTTTCTTATTAATGATATGTTTGTAGTTAGTCTCAACTTTATTTCCCTTAAATGAATGTCTTTTATTTGTGGTAGCTGTTTAAATTTTGTCTTTAATTTTCTCAGGTTTATTATGATTTGTTATTGTTTTTTTTGTATCAGCGGTGAATGCCTTATTATTAGTTTTGCTTAGGACACAATATGTTCCTTCAGTCTGGGAGTACTTTTTCTTTCAACACTTAATAATATTCATACATACCAATTTGTTTTAAATATTCATGGTTCACCACTCTCTATTCTTCAAATCTTGTTTTATTCCTTTTTGTCTTCCATTTATAACACTTCCACTGTTTCATATTTTTAATTTTTTTCTGTTTCTGACTAGTACTATTTTTCCCCAACTTTAATTTCAAGGGGTACATGTGCAGGTTTGATATATGGGTAAATTGTGTGTCACTGAGGTTGGGGCTAAGAATGATCCTGTCACCCAGGTAGTAAGCATAGCATCCAGCAGTTAGCTGTTCAACCCTTCCTCCCCCATCTAGTAGTCCCCAGTGTCTATTGTTGCCATCCTTATGTCCGAGTACCCATAGTTCAGCTCCCACTTATAAGTGATAACATGTGATATTTGATTTATATTTATTATAAGTGATAACATGTGATATTGTGTACCTGCGTTAATCAACTTAGGATAATAGCCTACAGCTGCATCCATGCTGCTGCAAGGGACATGATTTCATTCCTTTTTATCATATTTTCCTGTATTTTTTATTTCTGTCCTGCTTTTTGGTGACTTCCTCAGATCTATATTCCAATTTACCATTTCTAGTCTTAGTTGTACCTGATCAACTCTTGGTCAAATCCACTGAAGGTTTTAATGTATTTTTTCTAACATATTTTAATTTTAGAAATGTTATTTTGATGTATTGAATGGTTTTTATATTTGGCTGAAGGGTATTCATGTTTGCTCTACTTTCTCTTCTCTCTCTTAATATATAACATGATTTCAATATACAGACATGTCATGTCTAACATTCTGTTTCAAACTGTTGTATGATTTTCTGACTGGCTAATTCTGCTATTTTTATCTTTTTCTTTTTTCCTCAGTGAGAATGAATTTCTGCAGTTTCTTAAATCTTTCTGTCAGAAATCACGACCACAAACACTCCAGAGTCACATCTTTATGATATTTTGGAAAAAGCAGACTGAGTCTGGAATTTTTTTATAGCCAATTCTAAAATTCAGGGAAGGAATTCTCATGACCCGGCTTGTAGATGCTCACTCCTGCGTCACCCATCACTGCATAGGGTTTTGGGTGTTAGGAAAGCAGTTGCTCAAAATTTTCCCTTCTTTAAGGATGCACCATCCAACAGAGGTTTCAATCAAAGCAAATATCACCGGGGGAGGGTGCCCAGGTTCTAGGCATCTTGAACAAAGAAATGGACAAAACGCACAAACTAAGCAAGGAAGGAATGAAGGGTTTTATTGAAAAGGAAAGTACACTCCACAGTGCGAGAGTGGGCCTGAGCATAGAAACTCAAGCCCCGTTACTGAATTTTTAGGACTCCATTAGATACTTTGGGTACGTCCTATGTTAATGAAGAGGATGAAGTAAAGTACAAAGTCATTTATGGCGTACACCCTTTGGAGAGGATATTTCCTGTTATAGCTGATGTGTGAATCGGCCTTATGTTCCCTCCCTCCAGACCCGATTTTCTTGCCTCACAAAGATATCGGAAGTTTTACGTTATTTTGAAATGAGTAGTTTGGGGTACTGATACCATATAACAATCACTCTGAGTTAGACTGTGAGAAGTAAATTGAACGTTTTTCATTGTAAATCTAAATGATTTTAATAAGAACATATGTGTAACTGAAAGACACTGTAGGCTTTTGAACAAGAGAAGAAGCTTGTGGAGGCGTAAAGTCCAGATTCAGGGCACATTCTATCTCTATTTCATTCAAGAGCTTAATGATGTCACCCATGACCAAGATTCTTATCTCTGTGATCTGCCTTAAGAAATGTGTCAGCTTTGTTCTCAGGCTGATTTCTATCAAGGTTCCAGGATGACTGCAAAAGTTACTTACTTCATATCCATATATAAAAACATCAGAGTAAAAAGGAAACTGTCTTTTAAGCAGATTTCATATATATGATTTCATTCTCTGCAGTATTTTCCAGAATCTTATAGATGGCATTGAATGGATTTGAACTTGAGAAAACAATTATATTGATATATCACCTACTAAACAACTGATGCATTATTGAAATATAAAAATGAGCTCAGTAATATATCAATCAACAACAGATGCACACATTGCCAAATAAATCGTTGAGCTTAATCGTTAGTGTGTGTGACGGAAACTTGAAAAGACATTTGCCTCAGCTAATGTCTGCCTTGCTACCACTTAATCATCAAAACATTAATCTTAAAATGTAGTGAATGTAGAGGATTAGCAGGGAGAAAAATGGTGAAAACTGAGAAATATAGAAAACACTCCACTGATGGCTATGATTATGCTCATGGCAAGTCTGCTTTTGGTACACTATGTTCTAGTCACCTTTGAATATTTTTATGATGTATATAGGCAGCTGATTCACCAAAGTAATTAATCATGCAATGACTATATTTGTGTGTCCAATTATAGTCTTTATGGTTGATTACTTTTTGCAAAAAATACCATTACTAGTTCTATTTTACTCCTTCTGCCCTGGGCAACAAGGCCAGGACATCAATGGAAGAGACAAATATAAGCAATGTACAGATGAAATAATTTTTCTAAAGCAAGATGTTAAGGATATATTAATTTTCAGTGTCAGAAATATTACCTTGTTTAGCGAAGCTAAAAGCATATAAACATTCTCTAAATGTACTACTTCATTGCAATATCATCAGCTCTTTACCAGCACATTTTATTATTAATATAAAGAATTCAATAATGATTTTTAAAAAGCCTCTTTCCTTTTTCTCAAATGACTGATGAATCCCCACAGAAATACTTTCAATATTTATAGCCAAAAATCTTTCATACAGGCAATATCATTTTTCTTAGCTTCATCTCTCAGTAAAACATATCATCAAACTTCTAAAAACATGTGTCTCTTAAAAATGCTGGGAATATAATTTGTCCTAATCCTGAGAAGGAAACCCAAGCTTGTCCTTCTTTAGGAGTCACTCTTTATTCGTTTGGAATAGAGTTCCTTAGATTTATTTGACAAATGTTTATTGAGACCTGCCAAGTCCTAGTCACAGTTACTGGAGATGGGACAATTCAGTAAGGAAAGGAGGCCAACATCTCTGACACTGTGGAGCTTATATTTTTTGCATAATAAATACCTGTGACACCTAATAATATATACTTTAATAAATGGCAGTAAGAATTTTGAACAGAAATAAATCAAAAGATGTCTGGACATGTGCAAAAGGTTGAAATTATAAACAGTGTGTTAAGAGAATATGGCCAGGCGTGGTGGCTCATCCCAGTAATCTCACTGCTTTGGGAGGCTGAAGTGGAAGGATCACTTGAGCCCAGAAGTTTGAGATCAGTTTAAGCAACATAGCAAGATCTCATCTCTACAAATAGTTTGTTTTTTAAAAATCAGCCAGGCGTGGTGGTGTGTGCCTGAAGTACTAGCTAATTGGGAGGCTGAGGTGGGAGGATTGCTTGAGCTCAGGAATTCAAGGCTGCAGTGAGCTGCATTCACACCACTGCACTGCAGCATGGGTGACAGAGTGAGACCCTGTCTCTTTAAAAAAAAAAAAAAAAAAAAGAAAGAAAAAAGAAAGAAAGAAAGAGAATACTTAACTGAGAAAAGTTACATTTTAGCAAATCTCTGCTGGCCTGTATAACCAGTATGGTTTCAGCCTGTTAAAAGAACTTTGATACAGAATTCATGCCAACAGTGGACCTAGAACACTGTCCCTCAGTTATGGAATTTTTGAATTGGTTTTGATACATTCCTGCCGAACATCTTGCTTATAGAAAATGGGATAGTAATAATCTATGGTGTACACTGCCATCATAATTAATCAAGTTATTATCTGTGGTTTATGATAGTAATATGACAATTAAAGTTAGTTGCTGGCAGTTCAGATTATTAAACTGTAAGTTTGAATCGTGATCTAAGAACCAGATATCTTCCACGGTAGGACTGCAGTAATCCTTCCTTCCTTCCTTCCTTTCCTTCCTTCCTTCCCTCCCTCCCTCCCTCCCTTCCTCTCCTCTTTTCTTTTTTTCTTTCTTTTCTTCTTTCTTTCTTTTCCTTTTTTCTTTCTTCTTTTTCTTCCCCCTCTTTTTCTCCTTCCTTCCTATTTCTTTCTTTCTTTCCTCTTTTTCTTCCTTCTTTTCTTTTTTTCTTCCCCTCTCCTTCTTTTCTCCTTCCTTCCTTTCTTTCTCTTTCTCTTGTCTTTCTTTCCTTCCTTCCCTCCCTCCCTCTCTCCCTCCATCTTTCTTTTCTTTCCTTTTTTGTTGAGACAGGGTATTGCTTTGTCACCCAGGCTGGAGTGCAGTGGCATGAAAATGGCTCACTATAGCCTTGATATCCTGGGCTCAAGTGATCCTCCCACCTCAGCTTCCTGAGCAGCTGGGACCACAGGCTTGCACCACCATGGTCAGCTAACTTTTTGTGTGTTTTATGTAGAGATACGTTCTCACTATGTTGCCCAGGATGGTCTCTTCTGAGCTCAAGCAATCCACCTGCCTTGGCATCCCAATGTATTGGGATTACTGGTGTGAGCTAATTAGTCGTGCCTGGCTAATCTCTCATTTCCTACAGCCATAGAGCCAAGATTATTAATTATCAAACATAAAATTAATTGTGGTGGTTACAGAATTAGAATGTTGATTTAACTTATAATATTGTCCAGTTTCTCATATGAAATTTAGAGTTTTGATTGGAAAGGAATGAGACCTTGAAAACTGAAATAAAAGCTTTAACAGGACTCCACTGAAACTGAGACTCAGTCACTCTGAGCCTCTCTTGACAGTGGAAGTAGCAGGTCATCTGTGTCTAAGGAGACTGGTCTTACTTTCCTGAAAACTCATTGATAACCTCATCAGGGCATATGTTTTGTAGAGGGATACTTATTTTTCTCAAACTCACCACTATCACCTCCTCTTTGCACCAGACTCATAGCTAAAATCAAATATCAGCATGATCCTGGAGGCCAGGTACACACTATGATCCAAGAGGAAATAGCTTACACACAAAATATTTCAAGATTTTGCAAATATATGTCAACAGACACCTTGAGAACAGGTATGAGGGTGGATTCCAAGGGTGTTAGACCAAGGAGATTAGAATTAAACAATTAGAATGTGCACTTACTAAAGATTCTGAATTTAGTCTGTTAGCTCATGCAGCTTTAAGTAGCTCCAGCAAATACCTGCTTGGTTAACTGAAACTTATATTTAAAGGTGGCCTACATTTAATGTGGTTGGTACTAAAGACTTTTCCTGACAGAAATTGGATTTGGAGGAAATGATCATAAGTCTTCAGGAGATAGAAAGGTTGGAATGTATTTAGTTTCTGCAACTTACACATCAACCTCAATCACATCTCAAAAGAAGGCCAAGAAAATACTCCCTCCAGTAAACTGATGAGATACATATTAGTGACGGAAGCATGGACATTACTTAAAAACCCAGTGGTTGTTCTGATTTGTGAGTCAGGTATGACTGTGGAAGATGCTACAACTGAGATGGGTTCCTTGATTTCAATGGGATGACTGGATCTTGAGGTCACAGAAGCCAAATGACAGCCACTTAACCACAAGAGGGGATCACTTACCATAAATAGCATGAGGGTCATACTAGTAATCAGAATATCCGGGACTTTGGGGATCTCTGGAGCAGGCTAACTGTTCATATTGTCCTCAGGAAGGAAAAGGATGATTATCATGCCGCAATAGTGCCTGATCTATGTAAGTGGTGGAACGGGAGGGAAGACTAAATGTAGTAGTCAAGTCCCAACATAAGTTTTCATAATAGAGAACTATACTGTCTAACCCACTTTTCAGACCTGAGTCACTTAATAGACTTAGAGCCTTTGATTAAAATGGAAGCAAGGGAGTTATTTCATTCTTTTTTTTTTTTAATTATACTTTAAGTTTTAGGGTACATGTGCACAATGTGCAGGTTAGTTACATATGTATACATGTGACATGCTGGTGCACTGCACCCACTAACTCGTCATCTAGCATTAGGTATATCTCCCAATGCTATCCCTCCCCCCTCACCCCACCCCACAACAGTCCCCAGAGTGTGATGTTCCCCTTCCTGTGTCCATGTGTTCTCATTGTTCAATTCCCACCTATGAGTGAGAACATGCGGTGTTTGGTTTTTTGTTCTTACGATAGTTTACTGAGAATGATGATTTCCAATTTCATCCATGTCCCTACAAAGGACATGAACTCATCATTTTTATGGCTGCATAGTATTCCATGGTGTATATGTGCCACATTTTCTTAACCAGTCTATCATTGATGGACATTTGGGTTGGTTCCAAGTCTTTGCTATTGTGAATAGTGCTGCAATAAACATACATGTGCATGTGTCTTTATAGCAGCATGATTTATAGTCCTTTGGGTATATACCCAGTAATGGGATGGCTGGGTCAAATGGTATTTCTAGTTCTAGATCCCTGAGGAATCGCCACACTGACTTCCACAATGGTTGAACTAGTTTACAGTCCCACCAACAGTGTAAAAGTGTTCCTATTTCTCCACATCCTCTCCAGCACCTGTTGTTTCCTGACTTCTTAATGATTGCCATTCTAACTGGTGTGAGATGATATCTCGTCGTGGTTTTGATTTACATTTCTCTGATGGCCAGTGATGGTGAGCATTTTTTCATGAGTTTTTTGGCTGCATAAATGTCTTCTTTTGAGAAGTGTCTGTTCATGTCCTTTGCCCACTTTTTGATGGGGTTGTTTGTTTTTTTCTTATAAATTTGTTTGAGTTCATTGTAGATTCTGGATATTAGCCCTTTGTCAGATGAGTAGGCTGCAAAAAATTTTTCCCATTTTGTGGGTTGCCTGTTCACTCTGATGGTAGTTTCTTTTGCTGTGCAGAAGCTCTTTAGTTTAATTAGATCCCATTTGTCAATTTTGGCTTTTGTTGCCATTGCTTTTGGTGTTTTAGACATGAAGTCCTTGCCCATGCCTATGTCCTGAATGGTCATGCCTAGGTTTTCTTCTAGGGTTTTTATGGTTTTAGGTCTAACGTTTAAGTCTTGAATCCATCTTGAATTGATTTTTGTATAAGGTGTAAGGAAGGGATCCAGTTTCAGCTTTCTACATATGGCTAGCCAGTTTTCCCAGCACCATTTATTAAATAGGGAATCCTTTCCCCATTGCTTGTTTTTCTCAGGTTTTAAAAGAATCTGTCCAGGACTTCTAATTTTAGCTATCCTATAATAAGAGCTTAGAAATCTGGTTTTCCTTACAACTAGAAAAAACTGGTCAAATGAAAACCAATTTTTCTTAGATTTATCAGAGCACTGATGTCACTGGACACACTAATACCCCTGAATCTGAAGAAACAGGCAAATACAGAGAGTTACAGCTGAGACCACCTTACTCGAAGCTAAAGCTTCCAGAGGCAAAGCTAGCAAAAACACTTAAGTGGCAGTTTTACTGGAGGTTGAATGTAGACCAGCTTGAGACTGAAAGACTCCTGGGAGCCTAGTCTTAGCAGGGTCCTGACACATGCATAGACATTACTTCCAGGATCCCCAACCAGATTCTCATTGTAACGATCTGAGAAAAATACTCTTGTGTTTCTGGCAGGATGAGAGACACAGTCACCATTTCAAAATGTGTCCAGCACGTTTTCCATAACAAAGACCTAACCTCCAAGGGAATGAACTGTACCAGAGCCTTTTCCTACCTGGGGAAACTGTGATTAGGCAGCTCCCATCCATCTCAGCATCCTGAATTAGATAACAGGAAACAAATAAAGGATAAGAATGAATTCTGAAGGTTACAGTCCAGGAGCTCAGCCCACTAAAGAACTTAAACGTAATCATAAAATTATGGAACACTTCCTCTCCTCCACAAATTACCACCACATCTACAGGGGTCCACGGCCAGGACAGTGGGTGACAACTTAAAGAGCTGCCAGCTCACATTCCATTTAAGAAGGAGTTATTTAGGGAACCATAAAGGAAGAGAGGAGAAATAAACAAGGACTATTGAGGAAAGACACTTTTTCTGGCACCGAAAACTACAGCAAATGTTAAACACATATCTGTTTCTAGCCGGATAACAAAAAGCTTCATACTAAAGGCCTATTTACATCACTTCCAATTACCTTATATATCTTGTGTGGTTTTCAACAGAAAAGTACAAGAAATGTTAAAAGGCAGGAAAAAAACACAGCCTAAAGAGAAAAAGCAATCATCAGACCCAGAATCTGATATGACACAGAATGGAATTATCAGCCATGGAATATAAATAACTGTGATTAATATGTTAAGGGCTCTAATAGAAACATGCAGATGAACATCATGCAAGAACAGATGTGTAATGTAATCACAGACATGAAACTCTAAAAAAGAATCAAAGCAATGCTGGAAATCAAAAGCACTGGAAAAGAAATGAATAAATTATTTGATAGGCTCATCAGTAAACTGGATATGGCCAAGAAAAGAATCTGAAGTTCAACATAACTCAATTAAAACTTCCTAAACTAATATGAAAATTTTATTTTAAAAAAAGAAAAGAATATGCCAGAACAGTGGGACAATTACTAAAGGTATAATTGTGTGTAATGGGAATATCAGAAGGAGAAACAAAAGAGAAAGGAACAGAATAAATATTTGAAGTAGTCGTGACTGAGAATTTTCTAAAATTAAACGAAGACACCAAACCACTGAACCAGGAGCGCAGAGAAACAGGTTAAACTCATAGAAACAGGATAAACATCAGGAATTCTGCAGAGAGTTATGCCATATTTAAACTATAGAAAGCCAAAGACAGTGAGATAATCTTGAAAGAAGACAGAAAAAAAAAATACACACTTTATCAATCGAGGAATAAGGATAAGAATTTCATTAGACTTCACATCAGAAACCATGTAAAAAGAAAAAACTATTTAAAGCATTGAAATATAAACAAAACACTAAGCTAGAAATCTATGTCTAGCAAAATTATCCTTCAAAATCAGAAGAATCAAGACATCTTCACACAAAGAAAAATTAAGGACAAAAGTTACCAGCAGACATGTTCCATAAGAAAAATTAAAATAATTCTTTGGAGAAATTGAAAATGATATAGGTCAGAATTCTAATCTACCTAAAATGAAAGGGCATAAGAGAAGGAATAAAGGTAAAATAAAATATTTTATTTTCCTTATTTTTGGTTTAAATAAAGGCTAACATTTTCTTTAAGTTAATAATAATAATAATGTACTGGATGTGACAGTCATGTTATAAGGAACTAAAGAGAGGACTTGGGAATACTCTTAAAAGGTATACTGCATGGGGAGCAGTATAGTGCTATTTGAAATTGGACTTAAATTAGTTGTAAATATATATTGCAAACTCCGGGTAACTACTAGCCAAAAATAAAATATAACTGTTATGCTAAGAAAGGAGAGAGAATTATAGGAAGTGCTCAATTAAAACCAGAAAAGTCAGAAAAAAGAGTGGGAGATTCAAAACAAATAACAAGTGAAATTAATCTGAAACAGTTACAAACATGAAGGATATTAATACAGTATATATCAATGATCTCTTTATATGTGAATGGTACAAATACACCAATTAAAAGACAGTGACAGAGTGCATTTCAAAAAGTAAGATGCAAAACCCACTCTATGTTGGCTATAAGAAATCCATAAATACAAAGAAATGTTGCAAACAAAGGGGCAAAAATGATATACCATGCTAATATAATTGAAAAAATGGTGAAATAGCCATATTACCATTTTAGACAAAAAAGGTTTTAAAACAAGGAAAATTACTAAAAGTAAAGAGGTATATCACATAACAATAAGGAGGTCAATTTTCCATGAGACATAACAATCCCTAACATGTATTCATAAAACAATGGCATGTCAATAATGTGAGGGATAAGTGAATATATCTGGGAAGATAAATATTTAAATTCCCTATTAGAGTTGGCAACTTCAACTCAACTGTATTGTTAATGGACAGATCATGCAATAAGAAAATAAGTGAAGATATAGCTGAAGGCCAGGGGCGGTGGCTCACGTCTGTAATCCCAGCACTTTGGGAGGCTGAGGCGGGTGGATCACCTGAGGTCAAAAGTTTGAGACCAGCCTGGCCAACATGGTGAGACCTTGTCTCTACTAAAAATACAAAAATTAACCAGGTGTAGTGGTGGGTGCCTGTAATCCCAGCTACTCAGGGGGCTGAGGCAGGAGAATCGCTTGAACCCAGAAGTGGAGGTTGCGGTGAGCTGAGATCATGCCACTACACTCTAGCCTGGGTGACAGAGTGAGACTCCGTCTCAAAAAAAAAAAAAAAAAAGATATAGCTGAAGGAAATATCACCATCAATCTGCTTGATCTAATTGATACTTATAGAATACCTCATCCATTCAACACCATTGACAGCACACACTCACGCACACACACACATGCACACACAGGAAACCATGAAAACCTTAGGTGTAAATCTAAAAAGTATGTACAAATCTATTTGTAGAAAACTGTAAAACACTGATGAAATAATTTAAACTATCAAAACAATGTGATATTTCATATTCACAGGTAGGAAGACTCAATATTACTCAAATGTGAATATGTACATTTAAACATAATGCATAGATTCACTAAGGTGCCAATCAAATTAAAATAACAAGGGATTATTTCAAACCTTTTAAATAGGCAAATATTTAAACATCTAATAATACCAGGTGTGGATGAGTAGTGGGAATTCTTAAGTGCTATTCGTAGAAATGTATCGTGGAATGACAATTTAGAGAACAATTTGACAATATTCAATGAAGTTAAAGCTGTATTCAACTTATGACTCACTAATTCCACTGCTAGGCATCTACCCCCAAATAATTCTCAAATATAAAGTAAAAAAAGCAAAACAAACCAGGGAGCCAAGAAAGATGAAGGCACAAGGCCCTGGAAATAATGCAACTAATTGAAGAATACGATATAAAAAATTACATCTCTTCTACCAACTTAGAAAAAAACATGGCAGTTCCAAGCCATTGCTAGAAAATTGTAAGAAAATTAAAAAGCAGTAACAAGAAATCAACTATGAAACCATGAAAAAGGTACACTGCTAAGCAAAAGAAGTCTGAAAGGCTACATAGCACACGACTGCAATTAAATGACATTCTGGAAAAGGCAAAACTGTCGAGAAAAGAAAAAGATCAGTGGTTACCAAAGAGTTTTGGGGATTGAGAAGAAATGAACGGGTTAACCACAGGGGGTTTCAGGTGGTAAAATGGTTCTGTACGTTGTTTTAACAGTGAATACATGACATTATACATTTGTCAGATGCTTTGGAACTTCACAGCATAAAAAGTGAATATTTGTGTGTGTGTGTGTGTGTACACTATATATAGTTACTTTTTTCCAAAGTATACTGAGTAGAATAAGAAAAAAAGGGACACTTTGCACTGAAGCTTGATAAAAGCACCTCAGTCCAGTGATAAAGGACACTATTGTTAAATTATCTTGACGTATGTACCCTAGGTATGAGTGGTGAAATGGCACTTTATTTCTGTGAACTTCCTCCCATATTGTCAGTCTAGTCATGAAAAAACATCAAAAAATAAAAACAAAAACAAAAATCAACAGAGGCAACACAGTGGCATTCTATAATACCCCTAACCAGTACTGCCTTAAATTGCTGGTGTCATAAAATACAAGGAAATCTAAGAAACTAAGTTAAAGACACATGACAATTAAATGTACTGTGGTATCTTGGATGTGATAGTGGAACAGAAAAAAGATATTGGGGATAAAACTAAGGAAATTTGAGTGTGCACTGTGGCTCATGCCTGTAATACCAGCACTTTCGTAGGCTGAGGCTGGTGGATAACTGAAGGTCAGGAGTTTAAGACCAATCTGGCCAACATGGTGAAACCCCATCTCTACTAAAAATACAAAAATTAGTCAGGTGTGGTGGCACATGCCTGAAATCCCAGCTGTTCAGTAGGCAGAGGTAGGAGAATTGCTTGAACCCTAAAGACGGAGGTTGCAGTGAGCCAACATCACACCACTGCACTCCAGCCTGGGTGACAGAGTGAGACTCCATCTCAAAAAAAAAAAAAAAAAAATGCCAAAACTAAAAAAGAAGGAAATTTGAACTCCAAACTCTAGTTAATAATAATGTTTCCATATTGGCTTATTAGCTATAACAAGTTAACCAGATCAGTTAAGATGTTAATAGGGGAAATTGTGCGAGGTATATGAGAATTCTAAAGTGTAATTTTTCTGTAAATTTAAAACTTCAAAAGCAGTTTATTAAAATTTAAAAGGGAAGCCAGGTCCATACAAAGAAAGACCTGACAGCCTTGCCACAGCATAGATCATGAATCTTCCTTTAAGGAACTAGGGCCCATTTACTAGAGTGAATGCGCAATGGGAAGAAAGATATCAAGACCTTTCAAAGATTAGTAGATGCTGGCTCTGAACTGACACTAATTCCTGAATGTCAAAAATGCCAGTGTGGTTCACTAGGCAAAGTGTGTACTTTTGGTGTCAGGTGATAGACGGAGTCTGAGTCAAAATTCAACTCACGTGGGGCCAGGTAGGGACTCACTCTGTGGTTATTTCCTCATTTCCTGAATGTATCATTGAAGTTATATTAATTGGAATATTCGGCAATTTTCAGAATATCCACATTGACTCTCTGACCCATGGAGAAATGGCCAATATGGTGGAAATGATGAAGTAGAAACCCCTGGAATTTCCCCACTTTAGCAATGTCAGAAACCAGAAACACAATTTCATTCCTGCAGAACTACAGAAATTAGTATCATTCCTAATTATGTATTAGTGCCATCACTAATCATATATAGGAAATGCTCAATGATTTGGATGAAATGACCAAGAGGTGATATGTGAAACTTCTCAAAATTGTAAGATGCTGGGGTTCAGTGGACAGCAAACCCTACAAAAGATGGGAAAAGTGCTGAAAGGTACTAACATGGAACTTGATGGGTTCAGAGATAGACTTGGAACAAATGCATTGTAAAGGTACAAACCACAAAATGTGACTGGAGAGATTTTTTCAGGGATTAATTAGCCTTTACCTAAATGCATATTTGAAATAGCTGATATGCGTGAAAAGAGTGTACTGCGGTTTTCTTTCCTTAGGGGTTATCTGCTAAGCCCACTCTTATCCAGTTTTAATTGTCCCTGTTAAATGGGAAATTTTGGAGTTGCATGAACCTTCCTTGCTAGTAAAGACTAAGCAGTATAGTATTCCCAAAGGCAGCAAAAGATTACCGCTTTAAGAAAACGGCTGAGGTAAGAGTCTGGATTCCCACTATTCTTGTTCAGCATTTTGATCTGACCAGTATATAAGGCAGACAATTCCTAGAGTTTAACAATGGGATGTGAAGAACTAACCAAGGTGGTCCCTCCAATTGCTATGCTTATGTCTGATGTGATGAGAACCATACAAAAACGCTACAGGCCCAGGAGGCTGGTGTGCCATTATAGACTGGGCTAATGCCTTCTTCTCCCATTCCCTTTCACTCAGAAAGTGAATACTCAAGCAACAAAATTGAAAAAAAAAAAATGGTAAAGTTCATATCTGATAGAAATGTTATACAGATTTTATAAAGAAATATTACAACTCAATAATAAAAGAGAAAGCAAGCCAATAGAGAGTGGGAAGCACACTGAAAGAAACACCTTCCAAATGAAGATATATGGATGTGCATAGAAAAGTTCTAAACATCATTTGTCATACGAAAATATAAATTAAAGTCCCAGTGAAATACAATGACACACACAGCGAAATGGCTATAGTTAAAACAAACAATATTAAATATTACAGAAGATGTGGAATAATTGGAGGGCTCATATATTGCTGCTTGAATTTCAAAAGTGTTTAAACCCTTTGGAAAAAAATTGTGGCCATTTCTTGAATAATTGCAAGTACAGCAATATACAATTCAACAATTTCCACTCCTACATATTTCCTCATAGATAAATTAAAACATATATGTATATTCACATGTATTAGTTTGGTAAAGCTGCCATAACAATGTATCACAGACTGCATGGTCTAAATAACAGAAGTGTATTTACTCACAGTTCTGTGGGATAGAAGTCCAGGACCCAGGTGTCAGCAGGGTTGGTTTCTTCTGAGGCCTCTTTCCTTAGCTTGTACAGTGTCATCTTCTCCTTGTGTCTTCAAGCGATCTTTCCTCTGAGTGTGCCTAGGTCCTCATCTCCTCTTTGTAAGGATACCGGTCATACTGAATTAGAGCCCACCTCAAGGACCTCATTTTGTTAGTGGTGGAAGAGACCGGAGTTACCAGGAGTTACCAGTAGCAAATCCGCACAGGTCGGCCGCAACTTTAAATCTTGCCTCCTCAGAAGAAACAACTAGACTGAGGGGCATAAAGCAGAACAAGAGACCTAGGCACATTTTAGAGCAGGAGTGGAAGTTTACTTAAAAGGCCTTAGAACAGGAAAGAAAGGAAAGTTCACTTAGAAGAGATCCAAGAGGGCTCATGAAGATTAAAGAAGGTAAAAAGCCCCGTTTAACCGTGATGCTATGACCTTTATAGCCTCTTTCCCTTGATTGGATTCTTGCAGTGGCGTGATCTCGGGGCTCACTGCAAGCTCCGCCTCCCGGGCTCACGCCATTCTCCTGCCTCAGCCTCCGGCGTAGCTGGGACTACAGGCGCCCGCCAACACACCCGGCTAATTTTTTTGTGTGTGTTTTTTTTTTAGTAGAGACGGGGTTTCACCGTGTTAACCAGGATGGTCTCTATCTCCTGACCTCGTGATCCGCCCGCCTCGGCCTCACAAAGTGCTGGGATTACAGGCATGAGCCACCGCGCCCGGCCAGAGCCCTTCTTACCCTTGGGAAGTGAGCTCATGTAGTGTGTTCAGTAAATTGTACGCATGCTTATCTGAGGCTTTCTTCCTTTTTCAGGTAGAGGATACGCCGAAGATCACACTCCGCTATTTTTGTCTGTTAATGTGCACGCCCAGGAAATTTCTTCTCCATGAGGTCTGCCTCTAATTAACAGTTTTTAACGTTAACAGGTGTGGACCATCACTGAATGGCCTCTCCCTAGCACCGGCTGCCAATGTATCACTTTTAGAGAGGCAATGCAACAATTACTGAACCATCACTCAAGACTTCTAGTGGGTGGCGGGGAGAGCCCTCTCCTGCCCGCTCACGCCTAACTACCTGTAACAATTTAACCTTACTTGATTAAAGACATTATCTTCAAATACAGTCACATCCCGAGATACTGAGGATCAGTTCTTCCCCATGTGAATTATAGGAGAATTCAAGCCATAGCAACACATACTAGACTTATGTAAAAAAGTTCATACAGACTTTTTTTTTTTTTTTTTTTTGAGATGGAGTCTCACTCTGTCACCAAGGCTGGAGTGCAATGGCATGATCTCAGGTCACTGCAACCTCAGCCTCCCGGGTTCGAACGATTCTTCTGCCTCAGCCTCCCCAGTAGCTGAGGCTACAGGCGCCCATCACCACGCCCGGCTAATTTTTGTATTTTTAGTAGAGACGGGGTTTCACTGCGTTGGCCAGGCTGGTCTCGAACTCCTGACTGCGGGTGATCTGCCTGCCTCAGCCTCCCAAAGTGCTGGGATTACAGGTGTGAGCCACCGCACCCAGCTGACTTTATTCTTAACCCAAGCTGGAAATGACCCAGTGTCCATCCAGGGGAGCAAACTGTGGAATATTCACACTACAGATGAGTACTCAGCAACAATGAGAAATAGATGACAGATTCTTTCAATGACGTGAAAGCACTTCATGGACGATGTCCTAGACAAAGAATTCAGACAAGAATATATAATGAATAATTCACACTTATGAAGATATAAAATAGGAAAAAATTACCTATGATTTAGAAAAAATCAGAAAAGCAGTTTCTTTTCAAGGAAATTACTGGCAAGAGGCATGAAAATATTCTCTGGGTTGGTCAAATACTGTATATCTGAAATAAGTGGTGGTTTATAAGGTTCACGCATTTGTCAAACCAGTAAAATTATTACATTTGCATATTTAATATCAATATTTTCTAAAACTTTTTCATTTTTTTTCTGGGGGGTTGGGGGGTCAGAGTCTCCCTCTGTCACCCAGGCTGGAGTGCAGTGGTACGATCTGGGCTCACTGCATCTCCGCCTCCCAGGTTCAAACAATTCTCCTGCCTCAGCCTCTTGAATAGCTGGGACTACAGGTGTGCACTACCACGCCCAGCTAATTTTTGTATTTTTAGTAGAGACGGGGTTTCACCATTTTGGCCAGGCTGGTCTCGAACTCCTGACTTTGTGATCTGCCTGCCTTGGCCTCCCAAAGTGCTGAGATTACAGGCATGAGCCACCACGCCTGGCCTTTTCTAAAATATTTTAAACATGCATCCATTATCCCATGCTAGAACTAATGCTTGGTTTTATCTATGCTGAGAAAACAGACTATGAGTCCAATCATCTTTGTAAATCATCACGGTAAACAAATACAAGGGAAACTATAGACCAGACAAGGACTATTGGCCTTTATTACAGATGCAAAGCTATGAAGTTAAAATGCACTTTTATTCATGATGATGTAAGAGAGAAGAAAATATCCTTGATGTGCTTCAGGTAAAATTTGGATCTATCTAAAAATTTTAAATTGATGATTTACTCAATAGCAAATTTAAAAGCACAAAATTCTCTGTACCTGAGTTGAAAATTTTGTGCTGACTGCATACACAAATGAAGACTCAAGAATGCAATCAAGTTATAGAATTATATAATTATAGAACTAAAAATAACTATCTGTTTATAGACATCACAATTGTGGCAATGCATTCCAAATTTTCATTACTTCTATTTATTTTTATAACATTGATATTATGGCCACCAATAATGAAAAAGTATGATATGTACATGCTATGGGCTACTCAACAATAAAAAAATAAGCTTCAAATACAAGCAATAACATGAAAGTAGCTCACAGACATTATCTGAACACAAAAAGTGCATACTATAAAGGAGCATGTAGGTTACAGAGATTAACATATAGGATTTATTTTAGTATACAATCCCTTTTCCTTTTCCATAATTTATGTAGTCAGATGAAGAAATATTGATCATAATGGAGAGAGATAAAATAGCATTACAGCTGGTAAAACAAGAACAAAAAATTTACAAAAATGACTAACAAATAAATGGCTGATTAACATGATTTTCATGTTTAACCTCACAAACTAAAAACCCAAAGGAAGCCAAGTGTAACCTCCACCTTTCACCTGCCATATTAGTAAGATATATATTTTTCTATACTCAAGGTCAAATAGTACATTTCTGAATAAATCTTAAGCAATATACTTAAAAAATTCTAAGTATATTTAAAATTTGAGCAAGCAATTTTGCTGCTGAGAATGTATTCTATAATTTTACTGAAGTTGTGAATAAATATGCACAAAAAGTGTTATGACAGTATTATTTTTATGGTAGAGAATAAAACAGATAAAATGTTTAATAATAACAAAATACTAAATAAATTATTCTGTATTCAGTTGATAGAATAACATGCACTGTTTATTAACAATCATTTTACTATATTAAAATGTTTGGAGTATGGTAGTAAGTGAAAAAAACATAAAACTAACGAAGTTCTTATTTAACCTCATATATTTCTGAGACCCAAATTGGCATAAATTGTTTTTATTTATTTTTATTTTATTTATTTTTCAGGAATTGGTGATATTTTTATTGGTGATCAGAAAATAATAAAAAAGTATTAAGAAACAAGCCAATATTTAAACATTATAGAAAACTGCATTATTATTCACTAGAATTATATAAGCAACAGGGAGATTATGCTAGTCATTCATACATCAATGCCGAGCACACACTAGGTACACAGAGCTAGTTATGATGCTGATGCTAGATGATGCAACTTATGGAAACAGAGTGAAATGAATAATCCACGTGTATCTGCCTCTTGTACAAGCATGAATGCCATAGAGCCTTGCTGAAAAATTAAGCCCAAGGTAATTTATAGATTGAATGCCATCCCCATCAAGCTACCAATGACTTTCTTCACAGAATTGGAAAAAACTACTTTAAAGTTCATATGGAACCAAAAAAGAGCCCCCATTGCCAAGTCAATCCTAAGCCAAAAGAACAAAGCTGGAGGCATCACACTACCTGACTTCAAACTATACTACAAGGCTACAGTAACCAAAACAGCATGGTACTGGTACCAAAACAGAGATATAGATCAATGGAACAGAACAGAGCCCTCAGAAATAATGCCACAGATCTACAACTATCTGATCTTTGACAAACCTGAGAAAATAAGCAACGGGGAAAGCATTCCCTATTTAATAAATGGTGCTGGGAAAACTGGCTAGCCATATGTAGAAAGCTGAAACTGGATCCCTTCCTTACATCTTATACAAAAATTAATTCAAGATGGATTCATGACTTAAATGTTAGACCTAAAACCATAAAAACCCTAGAAGAAAACCTAGGCATTACCATTCAGGACATAGGCATGGGCAAGGACTTCATGTCTGAAACACCAAAAGCAATGGCAACAAAAGCCAAAATTGACAAATGGGATCTAATTAAACTAAAGAGCTTCTGCACAGCAAAAGAAACTACCATCAGAGTGAACAGGCAACCTACAAAATGGGAGAAAATTTTAGCAACCTACTCATCTGACAAAGGGCTAATATCGAGAATCTACAATGAACTCAAACAAATTTACAAGAAAAAAACAAACAACCCCATCAAAAAGTGGGCAAAGGACATGAACAGACACTTCTCAAAAGAAGACATTTATGCAGCCATAAATTGTTTTTAATAATAAAATTTGAGGCATGAGCTCAACTAGATGAAAATAAATATGCTCAAAAAGACTATATGAAAAATGATATGTGATATATCACTTTTAATTTTTCTCTTCACTATCTGTTTTTTATTTAAAAAAATCACCAAACTATACAAGTGAATTATTCAACCTTAAAACTATAATTAACTCATTTAGAGACAATGTTTTTAAGTCAATGAATAAGGAATTATTGCACTCATCACTTGATTAGTCTTAAAAACACAAGAAATTACTGGACTATTAATTATTTTTTAGAACAGAAACTCATTATTTTAATAAAGATATATATTTCAGAAAACAATAGTTACGAGATTACATAATTATAGGAAAATGATAAGGGTAGTAATAGCAATAATTAGCTCCAGTATTTCTAATGGCACTTATTTTCTCTGACCCTTGTTATATACTGTGAGGGGCCTGATATTTGACCTGATCTGCAAGCCTGCCACAGTTTTATGAATGCTTGTGAATGATATGAAGACCCTTGGTCAGAGACAAAAGACTTTTTACCCATCTTTGCAGTTTCCCCTGTGATACAGAGCAGTCTAGGTGAATGCTGCACGTGCACTGTGTTTGCAACACAGCAGAGGAGCCCTAAGCTTGAAAACTCCAAGTTTTTATAATGGGCTGTAAGAAAACTTGTTTGACCTTTGCTTAGAGGGGACATGATCTTTACTATACTGAATAGTAAACAAACCTAACCTCTGCTCCAAAGAAAAATCCTCTTGTTTAAAGATGTTTGCTATACACATATCTTTAAAAAGATGGTCTGGAACAAAAAAAAGCTAGTGCCTCTGCTCACAAGACATGCAGAAATATGAGAGACCCATTAACTGTCTCCCAACAAGCCTCAGTTTCCTTAGGTATAAAACTCAATAATAAATGTGTGATAGTATCTGTTCTTTGACTCAAGTAAGATAGTGAACGCATCCTAAACTGTCAAAGTGATATATAAAATAATTCAACATTCAGACTTTGTTTAAAAAAAGGATAAAAACCTAAGTAGGCTCTCCCAATCAATTACATAATGTGAATTTAAACTGTACATAAGTAGTTTAAAAATAAGGCTAGGAAATTTGGCTTTATAAAAATTTCGATTGCAATGGGAACACTAGAGGAACTATATTAATATTGGGAAGAAATCTAGGAAGATAAAAATATTGTAAGAGTTGCTTCTAAGATGCACTCTGAATAAGATCATATTAACATGTTTTGCAAATCTGTTGTGAATATTTCCCACAATTCTGTATTATGCAACTCAAAATAAATGTGTCTATAAAAAAAAGACACCCGCTTTTAGGCCAATGTAAACTGAAACAAAGAATATGTGAAAAATGTGAGTTCAACAAGCTTTATTGTTTCGAGACACATATTTAACATCCCAAAGGAATGCATTAGCAAATATGTAAGTTGTTTTTTACTCACACTATTTCTAATGCATACCCCTTCCCTAATCTGTCTACTCACCCCTCCCAACAAGAACATGAACTAAAAATCAACACAAAAAGAAACTCTTCCAACCAGAAAAGTTACTGCTATAGGAGAAAAATCCAAAATACAATTCTATTATCAACATCCAGAATATGGGAGAAAAAAAAGTTTTCATGTATGAAAACCTGAGAATGAAGGAGAGTTTAAATTTCAGACTTACAAAGTTTAAACAAGGTGAAAAACTATAATAAACTCTGATTATGATATTCATTTATTTTAGTTTGTAAGACTCAGATATGAGTATTCAGGGTGTTTTTTAACAGTTTTTTCTCTGAGAAATTAATTCCTCTGTGAGCAATGCATTCTTACAAGAATTCTCTAATAGATCAAGAGTGTACTAAAGATTCTAAGAAAGAAATTTCTTGTAAGTGTTTCATCAGTGAAAAATTGGACTGGTAACTGGGAAATCCAATACAAGGAAAAGGATGAGGACTAATCTGGTCAGACAGATGACCCTATTTTTTATTTTGGAAAACAATATTTTGGTTATAAGAAATATTGAGACATGAAAAAAGAAATTCTGTATTATTATGGTTCACACAAAATAGACTGGCAGTGTATTGATATAATTAATAGACTGTGTAAGAGAACCAATCTAATATACATTGATAAAATCAATAGCTATAACAGCGAAAATATGCTGGACATTTCTTGAGCTTACCTTAAGAGGACAGAAGATTGTTACTTTTACACAATGTTTTAAAAAGCCTGTTATTTCATCATTCTTTTAAGCAATTACAAGAGTATTATACAGCCAAAATAATTGCTTCAGATATGATTTGATAAGATCATAGCTGCACTTGCTGTATGCAAGTTATTGAAAGAAAATATCCCAATATAGTCAACTCCCCAAGAATATAATTGACATAGCAGCTGTCATAACTGAGCCAGCTTAAAAGCAAAAAAAGACAAAGGCTAAAGAAACTTACTACCTGCCCTCTTTCTTGCCCATGGCTACCCAAAGCCTGTAATTACTTAAAGGGAAGGAACGAAAAGCTAAAAATGTCTGTAGGGCAAGGCCTATGTGATTTAATATTGTTTATCCCTTTTGTTAAGAAAAAAGCTTAACATGATAAATACAACATTTTGTTCTATATTAAAATGCTCTTCAACGTTTACTTCAAGTGGAGCAAAGGAATGATGGAGATCTTGGTTCTTTTATTTCCAAATTATTGTTAAATACTGTGTGTACCACTTCTCGGGGGAAATCCTATGAAACAACAAGGGAAGAGGGAAAATGGGTAGGGGGTGGTAGGGGGTGGTAGAGAAAGAGACAGAGATAGAGAGAGAGGATGAGAACTTATAAGTTGAGGATGTGGCCGGGCGCGGTGGCTCATGCCTGTAATCCCAGCACTTTGGGAGGCTGAGGCGGGTGGATCACGAGGTCAGGAGATGGAGACCATCCTGGCTAACATGGTGAAACCCCGTGTCTACTAAAAATACAAAAAATTAGCCGGGCGTGGTGGCGGGAGCCTGTAGTCCCAGCTACTTGGGAGGCTGAGGCAGGAGAATGGCGTGAACCCGGGAGGCAGAGCTTGCAGTGAGCCGAGATTGCGCCACTGCACTCCAGCCTGGGTGAC
This sequence comes from Homo sapiens, assembly GCF_000001405.40. Taxonomy (NCBI): domain Eukaryota; kingdom Metazoa; phylum Chordata; class Mammalia; order Primates; family Hominidae; genus Homo; species Homo sapiens. The sequence goes on along the minus strand of NC_000007.14, from coordinate 145,777,583 downwards.
AGAGCAAGACCACCATCTCAAAAAAAAAAAAAAAAAGAAAGAAAAAGAAAAAGAAAGGCCGGGCACTGTGGCTCATGCCTGTAATCTCAGCACTTTGGGAGGCCGAGGTGGGTGGATCACGAGGTCAGGAGATCCAGGTCATCCTGGCCAACACGGTGAAACCCCGACTCTACTAAAATACAAAAAATTAGCCAGGCGTGGTGGTGCACACCTGTAATCCCAGCTACTAGGGAGGCTGAGGCAGGTGAATGGCTGGAACCTGGAGGCAGAGACTGCAGTGAGCCGCGATCACGCCACTGCACTCCAGCCTGGCGACGGAATAGACTCTGTCTCAAAAAAAAAAAAAAAAAAAAAAGTTGAAGATGTAGCCCTTTTTAAAGATCTAGACCACAGAGTCATGCTAGGGATTTATCTATCTTAGAATTGGGAATAAGAAGCTTAATGGGTGCCAAGGGGAAGCTTATTAACACATTTATGTTACTTTCTGACAGAAAGTAAATACCATTTGGCTGATTTGTTTGACAAGGATTGACTTTGCAAGTTAGGTTATATGACCATCATTTCCCATAAACTAACTGAATTCAATGATGGCTCCATGATTCTGACTGAAGTATATTTAAAACAGGGAATTAGATGAAGGCATTAATTCAAATATATATTGTATTGACAAGAGTATATTAGAATTAATTATATTTTAATCTTATTTCTGATATATTTTTAGTGTATCATATTAAATATGTTGCCTCTAGTTGAGAAAGAATTTAAGGGAAAAATTAATAGTCTTTTGAAAAGTCTTTGTAGAGCCTTTTATGTATAATTCCTAGACACTGAGAGTGTAATTGATCTTCATGACTAGGTAACAAATCTTTTTGAAAGTTAGGTCATTTCCAATTTCTTGCTATCAATAAAACTGAAGGAGGAAGTAATCAAGTTGTCAGCTGATATTACATTAAAAATAGGTTTTGTAAGAAACCACTATGTTATTTGGTAAATAATTTGAAAAAAAAAAAGGTTTAAATAATTGAGTAACAATTCATATTACAGAGCTTCATTTATTTTTATCTCCCCATTCAAATACACAAATTTTCCCATCACTTACATGTATGATGAAGAAAACTAGGAATAGTAATCTAGCAATAAGTAATGATCACCCAGAGATATATGAACTAACTAAATAAAAGCTTCCTCCAACTCATAAAAGATAATTTCAATTTTATATTTTACCTCTCATATTTAGTAAATATTTAGATAAGTATCAAAATGTATGTCATTATATTTTTTATACTCACAGTAATTCAAATGTAGTGAAAACATCCTAAAACATTTTAACTTGTATAGAGCTTCAGTAAAACAAAATGTCTCAAAATGTTATTTAAAATAATATTCACATTTTTGTTGCAGTAATATATAAGTGATTAAAATAATTTCAGTGATAAGACATATCAAATACTGAGTACATGAAACAAGGCAAAAAAATCTAAATGTTAAATATGCTCTTGTTGCTAATTTTTTAATTTGATAAATGTGGATATTAAATTGCCATAATATTTTGATTTATTGGAGACAATTTAAAAGTTGACATAATTTTTTTAAAAGCTATAATTTACAAAATGCCAAAACATCTTTTGCAGCTATTTACACTTTATAAAACATCACATATATTTTGCAAAGCAGTATGTAGCTTTTTAATTTTTTGAGGAAACATCCAAGCAAATATTTGAATATTGTGACCATTTACCAAAGGCAATTCTAGATAAGTGAAGGAATTAAATGCAAAAAGCAAATCTGTTATTTTGGAAACAAAACCATGAGAATATCTTTATTACTTAAGAAAAGAGAAAAAAATGTTTCCTGTAAGTACAAAAAGAGTACATAATTAGGGATAATAATACTCATTTGAAAATAAAAACTTATAAATTTCTGTTCAGATGAAAAGGACAAACCACAAATGAAGAGAAAATACATGCCATATGTATTACCAAGGGGGAAAAACACTCCAAATATATAAATCAATTACAAAAATTCACCAACATGGAACTGACATAGGGAATGACATGAACAATTATTTCATAGACAATGACACACAAATGACAAGTAAATATTTGACAATTTGCATAACTGAATTTTAATAAGAAATGAAATTAACGCACAATAAGAAATTATTTTACAATAATTCTATTGGCAAAATTGAAAACTGAAAGAAATAATAAACAACGGTAACATGAATAAAGTATATAACTACACATGACATAATGGATCTCATGGTTCCTAATTGAAGAGGACAACAGCAAGTATAACTCCTCACAAATATTCTGTTTATATAAAGTTAAAAGGCAAAAGAAATCTGACCTTTTTTTTTTGTATTACATTCATGCAGGTTTACATCATAATCAGAAACCAGAAGGAATGTCACAGGAAAACAGCATGGCAATGTTCTATTTTAAAACTCCATTGTGTAAATAAGTTAATCTTTCTAACATTTTATAAGTCAGGCATATTATTTTACAATATTTAATAAAATATTGACTATTTTAAATCAAGTATATAAAAATAATGAAAATAAAATTAAGATAAAATAGCATTGCCTCATACGTTTAAGAAATCCCAAGTCAGCATTTAGTGTTAATGAAAAAAAGCAGAATGTTTCTTAGTCTATCTAGGCTGCTATAATAAAATGCAGTAAACTGGCTCACTTATGAACAACAGAAATTTATTTCTCACAGTTCTTGCGGCTGGAAAGTACAAGATCAAGAGGCCAGCATGGTCAAATTTTGGGGAGGGCCCTCTTCTGGGATGCAAACTGATAGCTTCTCCCTGTGTCTTCACCTGTTGGAAGGGCAAAGCTGCTCTCTGAAGTCTCTTTCATGAAGGCATGAATTCCATTCATCAGGGCTCTTCCCTCACTAAACACCTCCCAAAGGCCTCTTTTCTTAATACCATCACTTTGGGGGTCAGGATTTCATCACATAAACTTGGGGGTAGAGACAAACAGTCCAATCATAACAGGTGGTTTTTATATCTTAGCTGAAGGATGATCTCTGAAGAAGAAACATCATGTCTTGTTAGCACTATATAGTCACATTAAATCACAAACTTGTGCATATAATTGAGGTTAAATGAGTATTTTTGATGTCTTCACGTTACTATTCCTCAAAGTGTGCATGGATACCTCCTAAATGTATGTAACTACTTTTTAAATGTTAAATTTGTGGCAGTGGTAGATTTAAAGCAATTTTGCTCCCTCTTTTTCTAAGTGTGAATCAAAATTGCAGAATATGCAGTATTCCTGGCTGTCTACTAGAGTAAGTAGAACAAATTGATACCTTATTTTATACAAACAAAAATGCTTTCACCCAAAGTCTGTAAAAGTCCTTAATGACAATGTTTGCTAATTATGTGTATGTAAACTCATAGATATTTCTGTGGATGATACATAAAAGGCAGCTTTTGTGACCATTCTCCAAATTTTGAAAAGCTCCTTAGAAGTTTATTTCAAATACCTGTAATCCTTTCTAACTGATAGGGCATTGGTTGAGAGATAGTTCTCTTCTCTTCAAACAACTCCAACATTGATTTTGAAATAAAAGTTTCCCTATGGGATTCAGAGGTTTTAAAGTGACTCAGTATGAAGCAATAAACCTGAACTTTTAGGAATTTGGTTTATAACCTTGAGGTGTCTTAGACATACATACTTGTAACACTGGTTGATAGACCTTGTTGACATTGAAAGACTCACTTTGTTTTATCGTTTTTCTTTAGGAGGCCAAGCAGACTGGCCCTGAGAAACAAGTGTATTTGATATAATTAGATCTTTTTGTGTTTTATATTTACAGGTAAACAGCAAAAACAAATGCTTTAAAATTAATTGTGCCTTGATTTCCAGAGAATTCCTCTTGGCCTCATTTAACTAAGCACACTAGAAAAATAATTGTCTAAACAATTGTCAAGAATACTATTAATGTTGAATCTGTGGAGGAATGTGCAACCATAAAATGTGTTTGTATGTCTGCTTAAATCTTAATATATTTATATTTAAGTCTTTGGTAGGTTATTTGTACCATACCAAAAATGAAAATAGAAAAGCATAAAAAAAAAGACAAAGTAAAATGAAAAACACAAGATAGCCCTCTATCATTAACTTTATTCAATACATCTTACAAAACTATTTATTTATCAATATAATCTAGTAGTATTATAATATTAAACAATAGAAAATTGATAAAATAGGCATATAAAAATTCCTATGTTATATATACCAACTAATAACAGTTAAAAAGCACAATACTTAAGAGCTATCTACCACAATAATAAAAAGTAATACCTAAAAAAAATTATAAAGCAATGGTCAAAATTGATATGGATAAACAGTAGATTAAAATTAGACATATTTAATGGTAAAATATTAACTTTCTTATTTAAGTACAACTCTGGTGAAATTTTGATCTATAATAAAAAAAGATGAGTAACACCAAAAACAAAAAAAAACTCCAGAGATACAAAACATATAAAGACAATAAATTTTAAAAGTACACTAAAAACAAACCATTAATGAGTATAAAGTAAATTGCCAAGTAATAAGAATCCTATTCATTAAGATAATGTAATTATTTCAAACATAAGATTTTAAAAGTACCTTCACAATAATTTTTAAAATTGACAAACATATTTGTGAGAAATTGTCAAATTCAACATCACATTAAAAGATTTCAACCCCAATTTCCTCAATTATAATTATAAGCTAAGCCTATGAAAAACAGTGAAAATATATAAGACCCAAACAACAGGATTCACACAGTCTTTCTAACTGATATATATATGTACAGAACTAATTTCAGCTACCATCTGTGGTAAAATGTAGGTGCCAGTAGCCGTTCTGACTGATAGAACATGCATTACTATTGGCTGGACCAACACAGCACTGGTTTTCAAATATTTTGCCCATTGCCTCTGAGCAATATATAGAACTTTGTAACCAATATGCAAAGATAATGTATTTAATGAATACATGGATTAAAAGATCACATATATTAGTACATTAAGCAAATTTTAATACAATGTCAAATCATCAATATTATTAGGTCATACTCAGTAAAATGCAATTAAATAAGAAATAAATTTGGCAATGAAAATTAAATAACGTTGTAAAATAAAGCATTTCTAGAGAGACACCATCAAGATGGCTGACTAGAAGAATCCAACATTCCCCTTATCCATGAAGAATGATGAAAAGATTAGATAAGCAAACATCAAGTAGAGTGTATAAGGAAGAACACTGGAATTCAGCAGGAAATTGACAGGAACCTGTGAGGCATGGGAACTTAAGATTGCACCATAGAGAGGTAAGCAAAGCATTCAGCTGTGATATGCTGAAAGCTAGGAGAGACTTTCCATTGCAGGGGAAGGGTAAGCAAGAGATTCCCAATCGTCCACATTCCCACCACAGATGCCTGCAATTCTAGCTATGTGAGAGTCCCTCAACCCTCAGCAACTCTGAGTCTAGTACAGGCCTGAAGGCTGAAGGCCACACAATTACATTTTCCCAGAGAAGGAAAGAAGGGTGCATAAATGATACATTGGACACCAACAAGTGAACAAATGTTTGAATTTTGGGAGTTCCAGAAGGAGAAGAGATGAGAAAAGGCATAGAAAATCTACATAATAAAATAATAGTTGAAAATGTTCACAGTCTTGGAGGAGATATAAACATCCAGATACAGGAATCTCAAATACTCTCAAATAGATTGAACTGACCATGTCCTCTCAGGACATTTTACAGGCAAATTGCCAAAATTCAAAGACCAAAAGAGAATTCTAAAACCAGCAAGAGAAAATCAGCAAGTCAAATATAAGAAAATCCCCTTAGACTAATGACATATTTCTCAGCAGAAACCTCAGGAGTCTGGAGAGAATGGGATGATAAATTCAAGGTGCTGAAAGAAAAAAAAAAAGTCAGCCAAGAGTACCATACTAAGCAAAACTCTCCTTCAGAAATGAAGATAAATAAAAAGTATTTCCCAAACAAGCAAAAACTGAGGGAATTAATCACCATTAGACTGACCTCACATTAAATGCTTAAGGGAGTCCTACATGTAGAAGAAAAAGGATGACATTTATTATCATGAAAACACATAAAAGTATAAAATTAACTGGTAGAACAGATACCTAAAGAAGGATAAAGAAATCAAACGTTATCACCACAGAAAATCAAAAGATTACAAAGATAAACAATAAGAGAAGAAGAATGATGAAGAATATATATAAAAGAATAAAAAAACAAGTAACAAAATGAGGAAGTTCCCATCTATCAGTAATAACCTTGAATTTAAATGATATAAATTCCCCAATTAAAATATCTAGACCAGCTAAATGGACTTAAAAAATACCAAAGTATATGCTGCCTACAAAGTCTCTCTTTATGTGTGAAGACAATGACACTGCACACAAAGGGAAACCAAAAGTGCACAGGAATACCTAAACTTATCTCACATAAAATAGACTTTAATTCAAAAAACATAAAAATAATTAAGTGAGGTTATTATATAATGAAAAAAGGATTGACCAGGTGTGGTGGCTCATGCCTGTAATCCCAGCACTTTGGGAGGCCGAGGCGGGCAGATAACGAGGTCAGGAGTTCCAGACCAGCCTGACCCACATGGTGAAACCCCGTCTCTACCAAAAATACAAAAATTAGCTGGGCATGATGGTGCACACCTGTAATCACAGCTACGCAGGAGGATGAGGCAGGAGAACTTCATGAACCCGGGAGGCAGAGGTTGCAGTGAGCCAAGATCGCACCACTGCACTCCAGCCTGGGCGTCAGAGCGAGACTCTGTCTCAAAAAAAAAAAAAAAAAAAAAAGAATCAAGTCACCAAAAGTATATAAATATTGTAAACATATATTCACTCACCAATGGAGGACCCACATATATAAAACAAAAATATTAAGGCTAAAGAGATATTAAGGCTAAAGAGAAAGACCCCAATACAATAGTGGTTGGGGACTTCAATAGCTCACTTTCAGTATTGGACAGAACACTCAAACAAAACAACAACAAAGAAGCATTCAACTTAAATGAATTATAGGCCAAGGGGCTAAAAGACATTTACAACACTTCATCAAACAGCTGTAGAATACATATTCTTCTCATCAGCACATGAAACATTTTCCAGATAGACAACATGTTAGGCCACAGAACAAACTGCAACAAATATAAAAATATCAAAACCATAACAAATATCTTCTCAGACCATAACAGTATAAGTCAGTAAACAGAGGAGCTCTAGAAACTACAAACACATGGAAATTAAATAATAAGCTCCCGAATGGCCATTAAGTCAATGAAGAAATTAAAAAGAAATTTTTAAAAAATTGAAACAAATAAAAACAGAAACATAACATACCAAAGCCTATGAGATATAGGAAATCAGTACTAAGAGAGGTCATAATAATAAATGCCTATGTCAAAAAAGTAGAAAGATTTCAGGTAAACAACCTAACAAGGAACTAGAAAAGCAAGAACAAACCAAACCCCAAATTACTAGGAGAAAAGAAATTTAAAAGATATGACCAGAATAAAACAAAATAGGAATTTTAAAAAACATACAAAGAGCAACAAAACCAAAAGTTTATTTTTAAAAAAGATAAACAAAATTAACAAACCATTAACTAGACTAAGAAAAAAAGATGGAAGACCCAAATAAATATTTTCAGAAATGAAAAAGGAGACATTACAACTGATACCATAGAAATAAAAAAAAATCATTACAGACTATTATGAGCAATTCCATAGCAACAAATTAGAAAACCTAGAGGAAATAGATAAATTCCTGGACATATAAATCTACCAAAATTGAACCAGGAAGAATTAGAAAACATGAACAGACCAATAACCAATAATAAGACTGAATCATTAATAAAATGAATCCCAGGAAAGAAAATCCTGGACCAGATGAATTTACTGCTGAATTCTATCAAACTTTTTAAATAGAACTAATACCAATTCTTTTCAAACTATTAAAAAAAACTGGAAAAGAAAGAATTCTTCCTAATTTATTCCATAAGACCAGAATTATCCTGATACCAAAACAAGACAAAAGCACAACAAAAAAAATAAAACTATAGGGAAATATCCTCAATAAACATAAATGTAAAAATTCTCATCAACATATTGGCATATGAAATCCAGCAACACATTAAAAAAATAAAACATGATCAAGTGAAATTTATGCCGGGAATGAAAGGATGGTTTAACATATGCAAATCAACAAATGTAATACATCACAATGATGGAATGAAGGACCAAAGCCATTTCATTTTCTCAATAATTGCAAAAAAAATTTGATAAAATTCAACATTTCTTTATGATAAAAACTCAACAAATTAGATATAAAAGGACTATATCGTATCCCAATAAAGGCCATATATGAAAAACCCACAACTAATACTGAATGGGGCAACATTGAAAATCTATATCTAAGAATTAAAATAAGACAAAGATGCCCGCTTTCACTACTGTTATTCAACATAGTACTCGTAGTTCTAGCCAGAGCAATTAGGCAAGATAAAGAAATAAAGGGCATCCAAATTGGAAAAGCAGGAGTCAAACTGTCCCCCTTTAAAGATGACATAATCTTATATACTAAAATACCTAAAGACTCTACCAAAAAACTCTTAGAACTAAGAAACAAATTCAGTACATATGCAGGATACAATATCAATATAAAAAAATCACTAGCACTTCTATACACCAATAAAGAAGTAACTGAAAATGAAATATGTGATCTCATTCACAATACTTACAGAAAAATAAAGTACCTAGCAATACATTTAATCAAACAGGTGGAAGATCCGTACAATAAAAATTATAAAACATTGATGAAAAAAATTTAAAAGGACACGAATAATTGGAAATACATCCCATGCTCATGGATTAAAAGAATTAATAGTCTTAAAATAGCCATGTTGCTCAAAGCAATCCATATATTCAATGCAATCCCTATCAAATGCCAATAATATTCTTCACAGAAATAGAAAACAAAATCCTGAAACTCATATACAACCACAATAGACCCCAAATAGCCAAAGTAATATTAAGCAAAATCAGTAAAGCTGGAGGCATTTCACTACCTGACTTCAAAATATATTACAAAGCTATAGCAAATACAATAGCATAGTATCACTATAAAAACAGACACATAGACTAGTGGAAGATAATAGATAACCCAGAAATAAATTCTTGTATTTACGGCCAACTGATGTTTGACAAAGGCAGCAAGGACATTCATTGAAAAAGGAACAATCTTTTCAATAAATAATGCTGGGTAAACAATATTTACAGCAGAGGAATAAAACTAGACTCCTAGCTCTTACCATGTGCAAAAACAAATTAAAATGAATTAAATACTTAAATGTGGGACTCAAAACATTTACACTTAGTTGGGAGGGATAATGTATAGGGTTCTACAGCAATGTAGAGTGAAAATAATTAACCATAATTTAATGTATATTTCCAAAAGCCTAGAAGAGATTTTGAATGTTCATAATAATAAAAAAAAGTTGGAGGTGATAAATATGGCAATTACACTGATTTTATCATTACACATTGTACATATGTATCAAAATATCACTCCGTATCCCATAAATATTATAATAATTACATATAATGAAAAAATTTAAAGCAACACTTTTAAATACCCCATAAATTCAAAAATAAATCATAATTCAAATTTTAATTAAAGAGGATTTTCCATAAGTGTGATAAGTATTGCCAATGGGAACACATTTGCATAAATATGACACAGAAGTGACAGCTAATACACTCCTTGGAGATCAGAATTTTCTTATTAATATTACTTAAGATCCCCAAAGGATGGGTGGAAAGTGCTCAGGAAAGGGATGGGGCACACATCACACAGATATTGCAGAATGTGTGCAAGCTGATGGTTTTTTTTTCTTATTTTTGTTTTTTAAATTTACTTTTTAAAAATATCCCTATGTTTCCTGCTTTTTATTCATCCAGAGGAAATTATTTTATTGAGGGAGACCTTAATTTTTCAAAGATTGAAATACAAAGGAATTAGAGGAGACTTTTATTTTCAGCTTTGAAATTCTAAGAGCCTATTGAAGCCAATCCAAAAGAGTCTGTCTTATAAACTGGTTGTCAGACGAGAAGACCCAGGCACTTGAAAGGTTGAATGGGTTTTTTATTTTAAAAGCTTAACTCAAATGACAAAAATCAATGCTCAGAAGATTGAACTTATACTTTTTTTATAAGTTGTAACTCAGTAGAAGAAACAGACATGTCATCAAACTATTGAGAAGATGCCTGTGGTCTGAACAAGGAAGACATAGTTTGTGAACCGTACAACTGGTTGGCACAGCAAATACCATGGACAGGATAACAATAATATATTCCAATCTCAAATGAGTGAACACAGCAAGCTACAGCAGGAGCAGATGCTAGGACAGGACGTGAACCAGAGCCTGGATTTGCACCAGATGCATCAAGATGCATCAGAGATGCCACAGCTGACCATGACAACAGCTCAGCACTCTGCACCCCTTTCTAATGCCACAGGTTATGAATATTTCCCCTGAAGATCAGAGAGAGGGAAAAGGGGGATAATTATTAAGAGAGAACAGTATCACTAATAATAAGTTTTAATTTGAAATGGACTAAGCTTAAATGCAATACTGATTGAGAAATTACCCTGAAGAGGCTGTTTTAACTTGAACAGCACAGAGTTTCCTTACAGGGACAGATAATACATTTTCCTCTTTTGAGTAGAAATGGAAGTTCATAAGCAAACTGATTGCAATTACATAAAAAAATTAAGAAAATTTCAGCCCTATACATTGTAGTAATGCATATAAATTTAAAACACATGGCTTACATATAAAGTAGAAAGTGACTGGCATGTTTTAGAAACTGGTCATGCCAGTTTAACTGAATATGGGATTTGGCTAAAGAATATGGAAAGAGGAGCATAGGAAAGGCTAACTAGGACAAATTATAAGCTAACAAACTAATAAACTAAAAGACACATATGTCATTTCATAGAGTGTGAATTTCACCTTTGGATAACAGAATAATTGAGGATTTAAAGTAATAGAATAATCATATTATTTCTTAAGTCAGGTTTATTGAATCATAATTTACATACAGTAAAAATTATCCTTTTTATTATAGTCTGACAAATGGATTGAGCCAGACATAATACCACAACCAAAATATAGAAAAGTGTCATCACATAAGAATTCCTTTGTGCTCTTTTAAGACAAACCAACTCCAATCCTCAGTTCCTATTACCTACTGATTGGCTTTTTATCACTAAAATTTTGCCTCTTCTTCAATGTCATATAAATGGACTCATATACGAAGTAAACTTTTAATCTGGCTGCTTTCATTCAGTATAACATTTGAGATTTATCCATGTTGCTGTGTGTATCTGTATTCTCTTCCTTTTTATTGCTGAGCAGTATTCTATAGTATTGATAGAGCACAGATTGCTTATCCATTCATCAGCTGAAAGTATTTAATTTTATTTTTACTGTTTTTAAAAATATAACAATAAACATGTGAAAATGGAAGCTTTCATGACTCTTACTTAGCTATCTAAGATTGGGATTGTGGGTAATATGTCAGGTATATATTTACCTTTACTAACAACTGTCAAAATATATTCCAAAGTGACTATGCCATTTTGCATTCTCATCAATATATGAAAATTCTAGTTGCCTTGCATTTATCTTATTTGGATGGTTTTTCTTTATTTTAGCAATTCCAATACATATGCAGAAGTATTTTATTGTGCTCTAAATTTGCATTTCTCTAATATCTAATGTTGTTAAACATCTATGTTTGTATTATTTTCCTTCCATATATATTTTGTATATATTATATGCCACCCATATTTTTGGTGAAATGTCTTTTTACATATATTACTGGGCTATTTTATTTTTTGTTATTGAGTTTCAGAGTGTCTTATATATTCCAAATGCAAATCTTTTTTCATATTTGTGTTTAGCCAATACTTCCTTCATCACTGGCTTGATTTTTCAGATCAGATATGTGTGTGGAAAAGATCAGCTTGTCTTCAATTTGCAGAATCAATAAGAATGGACAAAATTGGAGACAGAAAGACTAGACATTTGCATTTAGCCAGAGAAACTGAACTGCAGATAACAACACTAAAGATAACAACAATAAACACTAAAGATAAACAACAATAAACACAAACAAATGCTGTTTGTTAATTTATATTTCTGATGTTATGGAGAAAAGGTAAAAAATATGGAGTAGAATTCTTGCCAGAGCAAATGAAAAGAAGATGCATTCACTGAATACATTTATATTGTGAGAAGAAAGCAGACCTTTTTTTTCTCTTCTAGTTTGTTTTCGTTTTTGCAATGAGATATGCTATCTGAACATTTGCTTACTAATGTCTAATTTTATATTTACCATGACATTTGACACAGTCAGGTTTTGGTATGTACCTCTTCTAAGACATGAAAACCTTTTAGTCATTAATATGTTTGTTGTTGATACCCAGTCCTATTGGTGCATCTCATCTCAGTGTTAGCACCTAGAAGAGTACTTAGCATATAGGAGGTGTTTTGTGTTCAATAAAAACATAAATCTATGATTAATGCTGTGTTTTGATAAGTTTCCATACTCTTGACCATGTCTTAACCCATATCCTGGTATCTACCTTAGGCTTAGCTAATCCTGTGTTCCTCTGCTCTCCTATTTCTTCAACTTAGCCTAAATTTACTAAATCCTTGTTCTTTCTTTGCAATGCCTTTGGATCCATACAGTGTTCTAAAATAATGCCATATAACAACTCCTAAATTTTATTGTGGCTGACATTAAATGCAATTATCTATCCTTGTGAGATGAAATTTTAGAGATTTCTAAATCTGTTAATTATGTTATCCAAAAAGGACTTTAACCTGTGACCATATTAACTCATTTTGAACAAACAAAAAACAAAAATGTAAAAAGTGTCTTATTTGTTATTCACCACAAGTTCCTGTTTTAAAAGAAAAAAAAAAGTCACTATGTTTTATTCATTTCAAAGGAGTTAAAATTTTAGAGAACCTGAAATAAGAATTATGGCCTGCCTTTCATGAAATGTCTACCTTTTAAAGAGTTGCACCGGGCTCAGTGGCTCACGCCTGTAATCCCAGAACTTTGGGAGGCTGAGACGGGCGGATCACCTGAGGTCAGGAGTTCGAGACCAGCCTGACCAATATGGTGAAACCCCATCTCTACTAAAAATACAAAAATTAGCTGGGTGTGGTGGCAGGCGCCTATAGTCCCAGCTACTGGGGAGGCTGAGACAGGAGAATTGCTTGAACCTGGGAGGCAGAGGTTGCAGTGAGCCGAGATCGTGCCACTGCACTCCAGCCTGGGTGACAGAGCAAGACTCCGTCTCAAAAAACAAACAAACAAGAGTTGCTTAAAATTTATTTGTAATATTGTTTAAACCATATTATCAAATAGTAAATTTTAAAAATTTAAATGGTATGAATTTGTGTGAGCTATAAGTTAAGAAGGCTTTAAATAGTTTTGAAGTCATAAAACATTTCCTGAAAGTACGTTAAAAAGCATTTTAACTCAAAAACAATCAGGTGCTCAAATAATTTTTCCCAAATTCTAATTCCCCAAGTTACTTGACTTATTTCATCAAAATATACACTATAATGTTTACGGATACACATCAAAATCAAATTATCTGACATAATTAAATGGAGATTTAAAATAAAAAACAAGTGCACAAATTTTTTAAAAAGTGAAAATCTTTGCATAATTTCATAGTATTAGTCCATTTGCATGCTTCTGATAAAGACATACCCAAGACTGGGCAATGCAGAAAGAAAGAGGTTCTTTGGACTTACAGTTCCACTTGGCTGGGGAAACCTCACAATCATGGCAAAAGGTAAGGGGACACAAGTCACATCTAAAATGGATGGCAGCTGGCAAAGAGATAGCTTGTGCAGGGAAACTCCCATTTTTAAAATTATCAGCTCTCATGAGACTTATTCACTATCACAAGAACAGCACGGAAGAGACCTGCCCCCATGATTCAATTATCTCCCACTGGGTCCCTCCCATAACACGTGGCAATTATGTGAGCTACAAGATGAGATTTGGGTGGAGACACAGAGCCAAGCTATATCATTCCACCCTGGCCCCTCCCAAACCTTATGTCCTCACATTTCAAAACCATTCATGCCTTCCCAACAGTCCCCGCAAGTCTTAATTCATTTCAGCATCAACTCAAAAGTCCACAATCCAAAGTCTCATCCAAGACAAGGCAAGTCCCTACTGCCTATGAGCCTGTAAAATCAAAAGCAAGTTGGTTACTTCCTAGATACAATGGGGGTACAAGTCTTGGGTAAATATAGCCATTCAAAATGGGAGAAACTGGCCAAAACGAAGGGGCAACAGGCCTCATGCAAGTCTGAAATCCAGTGGGGCAGTCAAACCTTAAAGCTCCAAAATGATCTCATTTGACTACATGTCTCACATCCAGGTCACACTGATGGAAGAGGTGGGCTCCCATGGCCTTAGGCAGCTTTGCCCCTGTGACTTTACAGGGTATAGCCCCTCTCCTGGCTGCTTTCATGGGCTGGCACTGAGTGTGTGTGGCTTTTCCAGCTGCATGATGCAAGCTGTCAGTGGATCTACCATTTGGGCATCTGGAGAATGGTGGCTGTCATCTCACAGCTCTGCTAGATGGTACCCCAGTAGAGACTCTGTTTGGGGGCTCTTACCCCACATTTCCCTTCCACACTGCCCTAGCTGAGGTTCTCCATGAGGGCCCCACCCCTACAGCAAACTTCTGCCTGGGCAGCCAGCCATTTGCATACATCATCTGAAATCTAGGTGGAGGTTCCTCAACCTCAATTCTTGACTTCTGTGCACTCACAAGCTCAACACCACATAGAAGGTGCCAAAGCTTGGGGCTTCCACCCTCTAAAGCAACATCCTGAGCTGTACCTTTGCCCCTTTTAGTCATGGCTGGAGTGACTGGGATGCAGGGCAACAAGTACCTAGACTGCACAAAGCAAAGGGACCCTGGTCCCAGCCCACAAAACCATTTTTTCCTTCTAAACCTCTGGGCCTGTGATGAGACGGGCTGCTGCAAAGGTCTCTGACATGCCCTAGAGATACTTTCCCCATTGTCCTGGTGATTAACATTCAGCTAGTTGTTACTTATGCAAATTTCTGCAGCCAGTTGAATTTCTCCTCAGCAAATGGATTTTTTCTTTTCTCCTTTTTTTTTTTTTTTTTTTTTTTTGAGATGGAGTCTTGCTCTGTCGCCCAGGCTCAAGTGCAGTGGCATGATCTCGGGTCACTGCAAGCTCCACCTCCTGGGTTCACACCATTCTCCTGCCTCAGTCTCCCCAGTAGCTGGGACTACAGGCACCCGCTACCATGCCCAGCTAATTTTTTTTTTTTTGTATTTTTAGTACAGACGGGGTTTCACCATGTTAGCCAGGATGGTCTCGATCTCCTGACCTCGTGATCTACCCGCCACAGCCTCCCAAAGTGCTGGGATTACAGGCGTGAGCCACTGTGCCCAGCCAGATTTTTTCTTTTCTATCGCATTGGCAGGTTGCAAATTTTTCAAACTTTTATATGTTTCCCTTTTTAAACTGAATGCTTTTAAAAGCACCCAAGTCAACTGTTGAATGCTTTGATGCTTAGAAATTTATTCTGCCAGATACCCTAACTCATTTCTCTCAAGTTCAAAGTTCCACAGATCTCTACGGCAGGGGCAAAATGCCACCAGTCTCTTTGATAAAACATAACAAGAGTCACCTTTCCTCCAGTTCGCAACAAGTTCCTCATCTCCATCTGAGACCACATCAGCCTGGATTTCATGATCCATATCATTACCAGCATTTTGGTCAAAGCCATTCAACAAGTCTCCTGAGAGTTCCAAACTGACCCACATTTTCCTGTCTTCTCCTGAGCCCTCCAAACTGTTCCCACCTCTGCCTTTTACTCAGTTCCAAAGTCACTTCCAAATTTTTGGGTATCTTTTCAGCAGCGTCCCACTCGCAGTACCAATTTACTCTATTAGTCCATTTTCACACTGCTGATAAAGATCTACCCAAGACTGGGCAATTTACAAAAGAAAGACGTTCGCTGGACACACAGTTTCATGTGGCTGTGAGGCCTCACAATCATTGTAGAAGGTAAGGAGGAGCAAGTCACGTCTTAACATGGATGGCAGAAGGCAAAGGGAGATCTTATGCAGGGAAACTCCCATTTTTAAAATGATCAGGTCTCGTGAGACTTATTCACTATCACAAGAGCAGCATAGGGAAGACCTGTCCCCATGATTCAATTATCTCCCACTTGATTCCTTCCACAACATGTCAGAATTATAGGAGCTATGAGATTTGGGTGGGGACACAGAGCCAAACCTATCCATTTTATCCTGTAAAGATGACTGTCTGTAGCCAAATCCATACTCTGAAATGTTATTGACACAACTAACATTTAAAGAAAGAAGAAAACATAAATACTCTGTAGAATTATTCTACTTTTTAAACTCAATGGATTTGATAAATGATTCTTGTTAAAACTCTGAAATTTTGTTTATTCAGCTTTCCAGTCAAAATAAATGTTATTCTCAACCTAGAATTTCAGTGAAGCTTAAGGAAATCAAACACAAATCCTGTCTGCTTCATAAATTATAAGCAAAATGGTAAGGTAATAGAAACCATATCTGATTCTGCAATGATTTGAGGTGGCAATTCAAAACGTCCATGAAAACAGAAGCTATAAAAACGTACAGTTTGATTTTCATAAACTAGGTTGGCCCTCTTGGGGTGCGAATAGCAGAAAAAAATAAAAAATTATTTCCTATTTATTCCAGCCAAACAAAGCATGAGAAGGAAATTGTAAGGATGAATCCAAGACTACAATGCTACATCCATCTTTATGCCCAATTACACACATCATTGTATAGGAGGAAAACTAAAACCAACTGGTATTGACAGGGTATCAAAATTATGAGTGCGACTATCTTTAATCATTTGTACAAATTCTTTTTGCATAATCTACTCTGATACTTTTGAAGAACATCTGCATTATATTATTAAATATTTCAGTTCATAAAGGTATAATGACTTTCATCTTCAATATTCTAGAATACATCTTATGTAGCATCAGTGCATGAGTGCCAGACTTATTTCCTTTGTTCTCTAATGATTATCAAACTGTAGAACCATGTCTGTTATACAGAAGGTGCACAGTAATCATGTGATGAATGAATGAATAAATTTTATCTTTGATTGAGAAAACCATAAAGATAATTTTCCTAATTTTATTTCATAACACATGACAGGAATATCATTCATTAGTTTAATTTGCTAGGCTAAATTTTTTAGCATATGATTAATTTTGTATCAAAAAAACAAAATTCAGTTTTCAAGCAATGAAAACATCCATAATTGCCTGACACAGTAATAATATAAACCCCATTATGTGGTTATTTATATCCATACATGATATGGATATAAACATGTTATATGGATATGGACATGTTCATATCCATAACACATATGTAGTTATGGAAGTACAAACTTTTTAAAATTTTTCCTAAAACTCTCTAAAGTTTCACAAGACTATGAGGGTATCTGATATATTTAGCGGGTAAAAATAAGGAAGAATTAAAGCTGAATATTTAACCAAATTTATTCCTGGTACTGATTCCTGCTAAAAAAATGTCTAGAATAAATTACAAAAAAAAGAAAGAAAAACCAAGAATGATAACCTCACAGAGAATAAAAATTTTTTAAAGATAATTAACAAGTATTTTAACAGGTAAACTGGGACATAGCATGTCATGGATAACAAAGGATGAACAATAAAAGTCATAATATCTGCAGATTGATTTGTGCCAATTGATTAATTTGTGTAGATTATTCATACTGATTAACCTACTTAAGAATGATACATAATAGAGGTCTTCATGGAAAAAAATAAGATGTAAAATTGTAAAAATTTTTAAAAAACAGGACATGAACTCCTACAACTCAATACCAAAAAATAAACAAACAACTAATCTGATTTTTAAATTGGCAAATGACATAAGTAGGCATTTCTCTAAAGAACACTCACAAATGGCCAAGAAGTATATGAAAAGATACTCAACATCACTAATCATCAGCGAAATGTATATCGAAACTATGAGATATCACCTCATGCCTATTAAGATGGCCATAGTTTTTAAAAAACTGTTGGTGAAAATGTGGAGACATTTGAACCCTTGTACACTGTTAGTAGAAATATGAATATACATATAATACAATATTATTCAACATTAAACAAAGAAATTCCACCATATGTAAAACTGTAGATGCACCTAAAGGAAATCATCCTACACCAGACAAGCCAGTCACCA
The DNA here is from genome assembly GCF_000001405.40 of Homo sapiens. Taxonomy (NCBI): domain Eukaryota; kingdom Metazoa; phylum Chordata; class Mammalia; order Primates; family Hominidae; genus Homo; species Homo sapiens. The sequence goes on along the minus strand of NC_000007.14, from coordinate 145,759,157 downwards.
CAGGATAAATACTTCATGATTTTACTTATATGAGGTATATAAAGTAGGCAAATAGATTGAAACAGAGAGTAGAATGGTGGTTGCCAGAGGATAAAGGGAGGAGAAAATGGGGACTTCCTATTCAATGGGTGTACAGTTTGAGTTATGCAGGATGATCAAAATCTAGATATTTATTACACAGTGTTGTTCCTATAGTTAACAAGACTGTATTGTGGCTTTGCTGACGAGGTGGCATTTGACTACTAATAGAAAGAAGATGAGGTAATTAGCTTTGCAGTTGTCTGATGAAATGGAATTCCAGAAAATAAGAGCAACAAGTGCATAGTGCAAAGAATACAAGTTCAAATTCCCTATGAGAAGTGAGTGTCTGGTGTATTTTAGGAATAGCAAGAAGGGTGGGTGGCTGAAGCTGAGTGAGTAGGGAGTAGTAAATGATCTGTTCTTACTAGGAACAAGGAAGCTTTATCTTGCGGGGTCTTTTGATCTATTGTAAATATTTAGGCATTTATCTTGAATTTAACAGGGTCCTGATCAGAGTAAAGAATGGTGTCATATGGAGTGCTCTCTAGTACAGCATATTGGAGCCCATGTGGCATCAGAGGGCATACCTGAGGAGAGGCAGTCAGCACAGATTGTTAGCTTAGGGTGGGATTGCCACACATCCAATTGTGTGGCAACATAAGTAGCTCAGGCAGGAAGTTCGAGTCAAGTGGTGTAGGGAGGGCAAGAATGCAGGGAGGGCAATAATGCAGGGGAGCAGACAATGGTGGTTATGAGAGATTAGATACATACAAGAAGTTCCATAAATAGACATATTAATGTTTATGAGAGCCTGATTTCTCACTAGAAAAAGGAGTAACAGTATATACCCAGTAATGGAATTACTGAGTCAAATGTCATTTCTGACCTGACACAGCAAGAATATAAACCCCATTATGTGGTTATTAATGCCCATATATGATATGGATATAAACATGTTATATGGATATGAACATGTTCATATCCATAACACATGTAGTTATGGAAGTACAAACTTTTTAAAATTTTTACTAAAATTCTCTAAAGTTTTACCAGACTATGATGGTAGAAACCTTTTCTGACTAGAAAAAGGAGTAACAGTATATACCCAGTAAAGAAATTACAGAGTCAAATGGTATTTCTGACTTTAGGTCTTTGAGGAATTGCCACACAGTCTTCCACAATGGTTGAACTAATTTATACTCCCACCAACAGTGAGTAAGTGATCCTTTTTCTCCACAACCTAGCTGGCATCTGTTATTTTTTGACTTTTTAATGATAGCCATTATGATTGATATGAGACGGTATCTCATTGTGGTTTTGATTTGCATTTCTCTAACAATCAATGATGTTGAGCTTTTTTTTTTAGCATGCTTGTTGGCTGCATGTATGTCTTATTTTGAGATGTGTCTGTTCAAGTTTTTGCCCATTTTTAAATGAGGATTTTTTCTTGTAAATTTGTTTAAGTTCTTTAAAGATGCTCAATAATGGACCTTTGTCAGATACATATTTTTCACAAATTTTCTCCTATTCTATAGGTTGTCTGTTTACTCTGCTGATAGTTTCTTTGCTGTGCAGAGCTTCATTAGTTTAATTAGATATCATTTGCCAAGTTTTGCTTTTGTTGCAATAGCTTTTGGTGTCTTCATCATAAAATCTTTGCCCATGCCTATGTCCTGAATGGAATTGCATAGGTTGTCTTCCAGGGTTTTAGTAGTTTCTGGTTTTACACTTAAGTCTTTAATCCATCTTAAGTTAATTTTTGTATATGGTGTAAGGAAGGAGTCCAGTTTCAATTTTCTGCATATGGCTGGCCAGTTATTCTAGCACCATTTATTGAATACGGAATTCTTTCCATTGCTTGCTTTTGTCAGGCTTGTTCAAAGATTAGATGGTTGTAAATGTGCGGTCTTATTTCTGAGATCTCCATTCTGTTTATTGGCTTATGTGTCTGTTTTTGTATCAGTACCATGCTTTTTTGGTAAGTGGCTGTTTCCAAGGCTAGCGAAGGCAAAAAGCAAGATGAATTTTGGCTATCTTATGCTAGAATAGAGACACTCAATAAAGTGGAAAAGAGCATGTTCAAAGGATACAGAGGCTAACTTAAGTGGACCCTCACTGGCCAAAGAGGGACAATCTGATTATAAAAATAATAATAGTAGCAAACTGTAATTATTTTTTAAACAGGAAGCCATGATAAATTTGAATATACTGAATGTAATTGAGTACATTGAAAGTTTATAATTACAAGATATTTACATAGTCTCAACATAGTTCCCAACAAAATTTTTTTGTTGGGATATTTGTTTGAATATTTATTGACTGACTAGTCAGTAAGAAGTCTGATAACTGGGAATTCTGCCAGATAATCAGAGTTAACATAACCAGTAAGGAAACAAATGGAAATGATCTGCCAGAGTATCACTTTTAAAGTCAAAGAATCACAACATGAAAGTAATCATGGGACACATTAAATACATTATGAGGATCATTATATAAGATAATTGTTTTTATATTCACATACGTAGTGGTCATGAAATTCAAAGAAAGATTGAACATCTATTCAAGATTGAAAAAAGTAGAGACATAAAAATTCAGTAGTACTTGTAATTATGAATTGAATGCTCTTGCTCTAAAGGGCATTGTGAGACTAGTGATAAAACTTTAAGGTAATTGCAAAAAAAAACAACAAAAATTGACAAATGAGATCTAATAAAACTAAAGAGCTTCTGCAGAGCAAAAGAAAGTATCAACAGAGTAAACAGACAACCCACAGAATGGGAGAAAATATTTGCAAACTCTGCATCTGACAAAGCTCTGATATCCAGAATGTATAAAGAACTTAAATTAACAAGCAAGAAACAAGCAACCCCATTAAAAAATGGGCAAAAGACATGAACAGATACTTCAAAAGAAGACATACATGTGGCCAACAAACATATAAAAAAGTACTCAACATCACTAATCACTATAGAAATGCAAATCAAACCACAGTGAGATGCCATCTCACATAAGTCAGAATGGTTATTATTAAAAAGTCAAAAAAGAACAGGTGCTGGCGAGGTTACAGAGAAAAAAGAACACTTATACATTGTTGGTAGGAATGTAAATTAGTTCAGTCATTATGGAAAGCATTTTGGCCATTTCTCAAATAGCTTAAAACAGAACTACCATTCATCACAACAATCCCAGTATTGTGTATATACTCAAAGGGATGTAAATCATTCTACCATAAAGACATATGCCCATGTATGTTCATCACAGTACTATTCACAATAGTAAAGACATGGAATAAACCAAAATGCCCTTCAACAGAACACTAGATTAAAAAATGTGGTAAATCTACACCATGGAATACTACACAGCCATTAAGAAAAACGAGATTATGTCCTTTGTAGCAACATGGATGCAGCTGGGAGCCATTTTCTTATAAACTTATGCAGGAACAGAAAACCAAATACTGCATATTCTTACTTATAAGTGGGAGCTAAATATTGGGTACAAACGGTGACAAAAAAGGGATCAATAGACACTAGGGCCTACTTGAGTGTGGAGGATAGAAGAAGGGTGAGGTTTGAAAAACTACCTATTGGGTACTATGCTTATTATTTTGGTGATAAAATCATCCATCCACCAATCCCCTGTGACACGGAATTCACCTGTATAACAAACCTGCACATGTACCCCTGAAAGTAAAAGTTAAAAAAAGAACTTCAATGGGATCTTAGAATTAATGTTAGCAATATATTAATGTAAATTTACTGATTTTTATGGTTGTACTGTGTTTAACAATAAGAATGTCCTTATTTGTAAAATAAAACTGCACAGTAAAGTATTTGGAAGTGATATCAGCAACTTATTACTAAATTGTTCAGAAAAGAAATTATTTGTATTATACCTGTAACTTTGTAATAAACTTAATTTTTTTTCAAATAAAAAATGAGAGGAAGGATAGAAATAGAGAAATAGTGAGTATAGATAATCAATGATTTCAATCATTATAGAAGAAGTGCAACAGTCATATTTAGGGTAAGAGAATAAGAAGCTCGTTCATGGTGATGCTGAAGTCTAGGTGGAGAGGCTCGATGCATGTCAGGAGAGATTTCGGGATCACAAGATATACATTTTGAAATCATGAGAGTATAGTAATTAGAAATATGAAGTGCATGAGACTAACATTGTTGATCAACCTGACTTGTTAAAAGAAAGCATTAATTTGCTTCTAAGGTAGAGAGATACAAAAAAGTAACGCCTTAGCAGATAGGGATCTGGACCCAGAGTCATCGTGTTTCTGGCTTTGAATCCTTGATTCACTATTAGGAACAGAAAACCAAATACTGCATATTCTAAATATGCCATCTATGGAAAGCTATTATATCTATGACATGTTAAAAACCTGTCCATGCCTCAGTTTCTGCAACAGCAAAATGAGGATAACAATAAATCATTTTGGTTTTCAATTTAGATTCAATTAGTTAACATGCAAAACCCTTAGACACTGCAACTACACTATAGCATGCATAGTGTAAGCATTCAGTGTTAGCTTTTATTATAGTTGTTCTTATTAAACATTTTAAGACTAGCAAAAATTATCTTCTTGGAATTCTGTGAATAAGTTTTAAAAATAAACTTCGTGTTAAAACCTTATCAGAGCTTTTTTTTTGGTAAGTTTAAATTGGCTATATCTTTATGTATATTTATCTACAACCCCTTAGAGTAATCAGAATTATTTTCTCTACATGGAAATGCAGATAGTAGGTTTTGTTTGCTTAAACTGAAAATGAGCAAGCCCATGCGTATGTCAAAGGATTTCTTAAAAATGATCTCAGCAAAGTTCTGCTAAAGTAATTGGTGACAAAGGTGCCATTGAATTTTGGAATCTGAGCAGTCATAATATTTGTGTCTTCAAGCAAACATAAGTATCTTATTACCTCCAGATGCATTTTATCAGTACAGAAAAGAAAGAATAGCTTTAATATTGGGAAAACAGGGATGACTACAAAACTAATTTAAATAAGCAGGAGCTGGAACTATAACTGTATATTGTACACATATGGAGGTTTATTTTGGGTTCTCTTTGTGTTGGCTTAATTTTGAAAATACATATGTATTTTACTAGTAAAATATACACTTTGGTGTATTTACTGAATACAGCTGTATTCACTAAATGTAGCAATACCATTTGAAATTATAACCATCATGAATTTAATTAAAGTACATATGAAAATCTTAGTAAACTAAGAATAAATTTATCTCAAAATTATCACATCTTCAATACTGCAAAATTTAATGTTAGTATAAAACATTTATATTTCAGTTATCTTTAATATGACATCAACTGTATATAACATGCTAAATCATGATAAACAATCTTAGAGAATATATTTTAATCTAATTTGGAAAATTACTTGAATGTAGTTAATGGCAATTTATGTACTTATAATTTTTAAAAATAATTACAAAAGTATTAGTTTATGTATAAATCATATTTAAAATAAAGAACATTTCTTTAAAATACATATGCATTAATCTTTAAAAAATTCTCCGGACTTAGAAATCTGGAATTCTTGCTAGCAAATATGAATTAACACGATCTAAGTTTACCCTTTTGTCTGAAACAATCAAGAAAAAAACGACAAAATATATAAAATATTGTTGTTCAAGACACATCAGGCAACAAATGACATTACTCCCTAAGAGGCAGAAAAAAAAATGAGTTTTATGATTGCCCTAACTCACTGGCTTTAGAGTATTTAAAGCGTCAATGTTACTAAGTAAAATGATCATTTGGCTCAGCCGCCAAAGGTGCAAATCAGACCAACTGTTCCTAGAGGTGCCATCTATGCCTCCACCGCGACACCACAGGCACACACGGTTCAGGGCACCTCCCATTAACCTTTCTGCACCCAGCTTGTTGCTGGGCGTGCCGGCAGCAGGCAAAGGCCAAAGGCCGAGCCCAACAACCACAGGGCCAGTGGATGGTGCTTCTCACCCGCCAGGCCAACAGAACGTTTCTCCCCTGGCCAAGGAATCGAACCCAGTCTCAACCAGGGGAAAGATACAATAATTAAAGTGACCCACCTGCACTAAGCAAGGGATTCTTCCCACAGGATCTCCCCACTTTTGCCCCTTAAACTTTTTTCTTTCTTTTTCCTTTTTTTTTTTTTTTTTTTTTTTTTTTGAGACGGAGTCTCGCTCAGTCACCCAGGCTGGTGTGCAATGGCGCGATCTCGGCTCACTGCAAGCTCCGCCTCCCGGGTTCACGCCATTCTCCGGCCTCAGCCTCCCGAGTAGCTGGGACTACAGGCGCCCGCCACCACGCCGGGCTAATATTTTTTCTATTTTTAGTAGAGACAGGGTTTCACCGTGTTGGCCAGGATGGTCTCGATCTCCTGACCTCGTGATCCGCCCATCTCGGCCTCCCAAAGTGCTGGGCTTACAGGCGTGAGTCACCACGCCTGGCCTCTTTTTTTTATTTTCTAAGTAAGCCCCGCCTCACCCGGATCCCCCCCCCCCCCCACTCCGCCCCGCCCCGTCCCACCCCGCTCCGCCCCACCCCGCCCCACCCTTCCCCAACTCTGTTTTTGATAGGGAAGTTAATGGAGGAATGACTCCTGCTAGCTGAAAACTGCAAATTCAGCAGGGCTTATTTGAGACAGCTTAATGGGACACAAACAGCCTCAAAAATACTTTTTCAGTCCCAAACTCGATTTCAAGCTTCAGACTAAGGCCCTAGAAAGAAAAACCAGGTCTGAGGGATCCAAAGCCAACCAACAGGCCCAATGTAAATGAGCAGGACCAATTCCTGCCCACTAAAACCCCACCCCAAGGAAGGAAACCATGCTTCGCAACATAAACAGGCCCAGGAAACTCAAAGTTTGTTGACAGCAGGGAGAAAGGGAGGCACAGGTGATGCTGGTTAATTCCTATTCTCCAGGTTTTCCCTGCTTCATGGGTGCATACATCAGTACCTATAGCTGGCACCTGCCAAGGTCGCCCGGGATCAGGGATAAGAGGTGAAAGGTGAAGGGAGGAGGCTCACTTTTTCTCTCCATCACACCCTGAATTTTCACTGTAAGAAGGAAGGGAATGAGAAATGCCTCTATTTCCTGTCTTTCAGAATGGGCAGCCAGTTTTCTTCACCACCCCCAGCTTATATTCTGCTGGAGTGTGTCCTGAACCACTGGGACGGCTTTGATCCTCAGAATGTGGAGGAAGAGTGCCTCACAACCGTTTGCACAGAGGTTTGCCCAAATTATCCTTTACAGCAAGGACTGGCCACAGAAAGGGACCATTCATTTCATACCATCTGGTCGTTGGAACTTTTCTGTAGATGTGAGGATAGATGACCTCAGGCCCCATATGTGAAAGCTTTCTATACCTTGCAAGGCAATCAAGAACTTTGTCAACAATGTAGGATTGATCTAGTCCTCTTGTTTGCTGTCTCAGGGAAGGTTGCAAGGGCAAGCCCAAGGAATTAAATATACAAATCCCAGAGGTGCCCCCAGCAGAGGAGCCAACTCCCTCAAGCCCTGCTCCTCCAGGTCCACCCCAACCTCCCTATCCAGCATCAGCCTCTCACTGGCTTCCTCCTAGAAATTCTCACCCTAAACAAGCCCCAGTCTCATCTTGCCCCTCCAACAGGTGCCCAGCGAATTTGGGCCCAGTAAGGTCCAGGTCCCCTTCTCCCTACAAGACTTACAGCAAATTAAGGAGGTTCTTGGCAAGTTTTCAGATGACCCTGAAAAATATATAGAGGCTTTCCAGAAATTCACCCAAATATTTGAACTGCCCTGGAGAAACATTGTTACTTTCGAATCAGACCCTGACAGACACTGAGAAACAGGCAGCCCCGCGAGCAGCAGACAGATTTGTGGATGAGCTTTGCATCACATATAGCATCCAGGAAGGGGGCAAATATTATCCAACTGGAAGAGAAGAAATACCAATGGATGACCCCAAATGAGATCTTGGTGATGAGTTGGAAGACTAGAAGAGAGACTTTCAGGTGTGCATAATTGAGGAGTTATGTAGGATTAAAACCAAACCTCTCAATTACATTAAGTTGTCCATGATCAACCAGAGATTTGATGAAAATCCCACCGCCTTCCTGGAGAGGCTAAGAGAGGCCTTGGTAAATCACACCTCTCTATCTCCTGATTCTGTCGAGGGACAGCTAATCCCAAAGGATACATTTATTACTCAGGCAACTGCTAACATCATGAGGAAGCTACAGAAATGGGCCCTGGGACCACATAGTACATTAGAGACCTCCTGAAAAGTGGCCACCTTGGTCTTTTATAATAGAGACAGGGAGGCCCAGGAAAGAGAAAGGAAATACAAGAAAGAGAAAGAAGCTTTAGTGGCCACCAGGCAAGCCCACAAACCCCAGAACTCTCTGGTTACATTTGTTAACTGCAAAGATATGGCAAGAACATCTCTTTCTAAACGTTTATGCGCTCCCATACAAGGTTTAATTTCTTTCACCAGAGTGAAACAGCTCAGAGTACATTGTTGTTGTTAGTATATTTCACTTCTTATCTTTTTAATTTTTAGCACTAAATTCTTTTCTTGTATAATACACATATTTAGCCTATGTATACTTAACCTTATAAAACTTGTTTTTTTCTCTCATGCCTAGAAGCCATCATACTCCAAACGGTCAGGCAACCGGAGCCTTGGGCGATGGCTCCTCTTTGCTAGGAACCCTTAGAGACCTCCGGGAGGAATCTGACTGCGTTTTCCTCAGAACAATGCCACCTGTCAGCAGGAAGCAGCCAAGACTGGTCATTGTCCATATGCTTTTATTTATTTATTTTTTTGAGACGGAGTCTTGCTCTGTCGCCCAGGCTGGACTGCAGTGGCGCGATCTCCGCTCACTGCAAGCTCCGCCTCCTGGGTTCACGCCATTCTCCTGCCTCAGCCTCCCGAGTAGCTGGGACTACAGGCGCCCGCCACCGCGCCCGGCTAATTTTTTTGTATTTTTAGTACAGACGGGATTTCACCGTGTTAGCGAGGATGGTCTCGATCTCTTGACCTCATGATCCGCCCGCCTCGGCCTCCCAAAGTGCTGGGATTACAGGCCTGAGCCACCACGCCCGGCCGTCCATATTCTAACAGCAGTTACATGTACCACTTCAGAGGGGGGAAATGATACTGGAGAGGGGTGCAGGGAAGTGCTGGGAAAGGGAGGGCGTGGTCCCTGGCTAGGGCTCCGCCCCCAGGTCTGTGCCCACAGACCTAGGTGAAAACAGTCATTTCCGTTTTCCTGCCCAATGTTGCATTTCCCCAGACTACCCTGACCCACTATGACTCCATCCAGTGCCTGTAAAAACCCCGAGACACTAACAGGCAGAGACACAACTGCCTGGACGTCGAGAGGAATACATCAGTGGAAGAAGACACAAGCACTGGACATCAAGAGGATATCTCAACAAGCACTGCCCAGCCCAGCACATTTTGGTCAATAAAGGAATTATCTTTGAGTTTGAAGAGACTTGTTCAGGTTATCCACCTGAATGAGACAGAAGAGGTCTTCTATTTGCCAGGGCCTGAAATTGTTTTCCTAGGATTAGGGTAATCTCTGTTGGTAATCTTAAATAACAAAGAAAAATTTACTTATTAGAAACATCGTTCTTGATGGAGAGGGAAAATATCTTGCTGAAAACAAAACAAAAAAAAATTAACTGTAAACAGACAGAACCTCTTTACCTATGCTCTCTATGCTTCTGCTACCAAGTGGCTCTAGAACTGTGGCTCCTGTTTTTAGCTATGATTGTAGGGTTAGTATGTTTATCATGGCATTCTTTTTTATTAGAAAATGGAGAGATGAAAGCAATATTTTTCAATATATTTCTTTTGAATATTTAGATTTTACCAAGGCTTGGAGAAATGTAAATCTGAGAAATGAAAAATGTGTGGAGCAGCATACTTGCAGAATTCATTGCTTCTGATTGGTCATGGCCTTTGAAGTTATGGACGTAGAAAGAGTAACAAAATACATTACCATTTAAACCAGAGCAATTCTGAGAGTAAAATAGGGTGCTATTTGTAATTACTTGGAATAACATGTAAATGTTTCTCTCCTAGAAAACTGAGAGATGTGGTCACCTGAGTTATGTGAAGAGCATAGTAGATAAAAATCTTGGATTGCTTCCAGAGTTGAAAATTCCAGTGTAGCATCAATTGCCACTGACATCTGAGTTCTCCTACTTGAGCGTCAACTCAGAAATCATAGACTGTGTAACTAGTACTGACTCACTGCCATCCTGATAAGGTCGATTTTAACTTTCCTTCCTCTTACTTTTTCAATTATTCTTTTCTTCCACAGATAAATTTGCATTTCTTGTATAGTTAATGCATGAAATTAGAAATGTAAAAATTTTATCATTGCTTGTCACTTCTGAAACAGTGTTTCTCTAAACTGTATGAGCCTGGAAAAATAACACTCTATTTCTATTATTGATCCATTAGGATATTGGGAAACCTAAAAGTGTGTTCATGTCAGAGAGAATACTCACTGAACCACTTTCTTTCATTCAACTAGTACCAGAAGATAACATACATACAGGCCACATTGTTCTTAACATATGCTTTGTTAATTCATTAATTTATTCATTCAATGTATATTCAGTTTCTATTATGTGCCAGGCAATATTCTAGGTGCTTTAGATACATTAGTAAGCAAAAGATAATCCCTTTTCTCATGGAACTAGCATTCTAGTGAAAGAAAAATGTTTGTCTTTGTTTTGAGGCCATACCATCAGAAGTTTTCATTAGTATTCAATATCTTGAACTATAAAATAACTAAATTCAATTAATATATTTAACTTTCTGAATACAGAACAAATTATATAATTTATATTTGAAAAAGTAATAGACATATTTTCTTCACACATCCCAAAACCAGGGACTTCAGTTTTATTTTTTCTCTGAACAATTCCAAATTTTCTTGATGACTATCCAAATAAACATGGATATATAACTCTTATTTTCTCCTTTACACACAAATGTCAGTTGTAGTATTGGTATGCTTCTACTCATTATCTCTTGCTCAGAAAAAACATTATATTAAGAGATTTTTTCCATATAATGTTACATAGAGCTTCATAATTTTTTTGCAGCATAGTATTTCATTATATGAATGTACCAGAATTAATTTAACCAGCAATTTGGACTGCATTGTTTGCTTCCATTCTTGTATTCTCATACGCAATGGTACAATAAATAACATAGATCATGTGGTTTTAAACATGCATAAGTATATCCATTGGATAAACCAATGGTTATTTTTCCTTTGAACAAATTGCTAGAATCTCTGCATTTGTAATTTTGCCAAATTACCAAGTTGTCATCTAAAGGGTTTTGTACCAATCATGATTCATGATAGTACCTAATTTTTTATGGTTCCACATCACAGTATAATCAAACTTTCAAATTATCATTAATATGATAGGGTTAAAATATATCTCTATACATCTGCCTGTGTTTAATTTTTATTTCTCTTATTATTATTGAGGCTAGAAATTTTGACATTTGTATACATTTAAGAACCAGTTGCAGTTTCTGATCTGTACCTACTTTGTTCATACCCTTCATTTTTTGATTGAAATTTTGATAGTTTTATTTTTATATAGCAGAAAGATTATACCAATACATTGCAAATATTTAGTTCCCTGTGTTATTTATATTTGACTTTTTATGTGTGTTTTTAATTAACCATTCAAAAATATTTATTTTATGTTTAGATAATATTTTTATTTATTATTTATTTTTTTGAGATGGAGTTTTGCTCTTATTGCCCAAGCTGGAGTGCAATGGTATCTTGGCCCACTGCAACCTCCGCCTCCTGGATTCAAAGTGATTCTCCTGCCTCAGTCTCTCAAGTAGCTGGTATTACAGGCACCCACCACCACACCTGGCTAATTTTGTATTTTTAGTAGAAACGGGGTTTCACCATGTTTGTCAGGCTGGTCTCAAACTCCGGAGCTCAAGTTATCCACCCATTTCGGCCTCCCAAAGTGATGGGATTATAGGCATGAGCCACCGCACCCGCCCAGCCTATTCATTTGTTTCTAATTCTAGATCTTGAGTCAGTTGGACTAGCCTTCCTACCTCCAAGGTTTACAATTTTACACATTTTGACATACTTTTATGGCATATATTTTTTAATTTATTTAATAAGATTAGATTTTTAAATTTTTAGATTTTTGAAATTTTGTATAGCATAATATGTGGAGATGATAGACAGAGAAAGAAAAATAAAAAGATATATTACCCTGGGATCTTAAAAGCATAATGAATAGACTTTTATCAAAAGATTAGAGAGGTGCCACTACCATGTCGCATATTATTATTTATATGTGGCTTGATCACTGGATTCCCTTTCCATTAATTTTTCTTTCTTGTCCATTCATATCCCAGATAATATATTTTGGTATCTCAAGGAATAGTCTCCCCGCGTTTACTCTTTTTTCTTTTCCTTCAGTGTTTCCCTTTTATGCTTCTTTTTTCATATGCATATTAGAACCAGTCATTTGAGATACAGTATGTAAAATAACATTAAAAAGTAAACATTAAATTAAGGAGAATTGATGTTTTCATGATGTTGAATATAATTACACACAATCTTAGTATGCCTTTTCATTTATTAAAGCCCAACTTTTATGTTTTAAATTTCCTTACATAGGATATGCACATTTCTTGTTATATTTATTCCCATGTAATGTTATTTTGCATTACTGCTGTCAAAATGTTTGTGTAGCAGTTGATTTTATGTTTAGTATCATCCTGATAGAAAATATCATGAATGATAAAACATTTCTCCCTATGTCTGCATTGCTCCTAGTACTCTGGTTTCCTCCCACATGCCAAAGTTAGGTGAATTGGCATGTATAGATTGTCTCAGTGTGAGTGACTGTGTGTGTGTGTGTGTGTGTGTTTGTGTGTGTGTGTGTGTGTGTGTGTGTGTGTGAATGTGCTCTACAATGGGATGGTGTCCTGTCCAGGGCTGGTGCCCATCTTGCATCCTGAGCTGCCTGGATGGCTTCCAGCACCTGCCACCCTGAACTAGAATAAGCAGGAAAATAATTACCTAATTTTGAAATGGTTATTTTTTAAATATATGTATAGCTAAAGTTTATTTTAATGTTGAACATTAGGAGTGTTTGGTTTTTTGTTTGTTTGTTTGTTTGTTTTGAGATGGAGGCTCACTCTGTCACGCAGGCTGGAGTGCAGTGGTGCTATGTTTTGGTCTTTGTTTAGAAATGTAGTGATGTTTTTGTGACCAGAAATATGCCTAGGAACTTACCTCTTATTTATGTCATTAGCCTATGGTAAAACTTGTTTCACATTGAAGTTGCAGTTTCCAAGAACCTATGGACTATGGTAAGAGAGGCCCTATTGTACTTTGAATATGTACATTGAGAGATTTTAAGATTATTGAGAAAAAAATTAGTTTTGTTGTTGTTATTGTTGTTGTTGTCATTACAAGACCTCCTTCTGTTGCCCAGGCTGACATACAGTTTCTATACCATAGGCCACTGCAGCCTCCAATGCCTGAATTCAACTGATTCTCCTGCCTCAGCCTCCAGAGTAGCTGGGACTACACACACACACCACCCCACCCAGCTTCCCTTTCTTTTAAAAACATCACAATCACAGACATACCTGCACACACTCGTGTTGTCTTGACCATTTTCTTCTTTTTAAAAATTTAGCTGTTTCACTGCATTTTGTTTCATTGTAATCTGATGTTCTTTCAGCAGCAAAATAATAATTATCTCGCTTTTTAAAATCTGGAAATATATTACCCACAAGTAAACTAAGAATCACAGATTTAGGAAGTCTGTTAAAAGCATGGGAAGAACATAAATATTCACATTGCCAATGGAATAAAAGGTAATTTATTTTTATTTGATCTTGGCAAATAGATAAATCTAAATTTCAGAATTCTTTAAACGTTTGTTTCCATTTTTCCCTGAATTAGATTAAGACAAGGTAATGAACCTTATCCCAATTTTTCTTAAACTTTACATCTAGAAAATGATGAGTCAACACCTGTCTCTCAAAAGGAAAAAAAAAATGCTCCTTTTTAGAAGAATTGGTAGAATAATAAATAGTGGTACCAGTTGCCTATTTTTCTATTTTCCCAGTCTTAAAATCAGGGCAAATTCATTTTCCAGTGAACATAATTGACAGTGCATATTGACACTTTTGGACTGTGGCTTAATCATTATTAGATTCCAAAGCTGTGTCTTTTGAGCAGAGGTGGAAGCCAATGGGTTGAACTGCAGCTCAATAAAACCATTACAGAATCAAGCAGTCTACATTCCATAGCACTCCCCCTAGAACAGGAGTCAATTCTGCATTTCTCCTAGCCTGCACTGCTCCCTTTGCTCCAAGGTTGTTAATATAAGGGATGTGGTTTTATGTTTATATGGACTGACTTTTACATAAGATCTAGTTATTAAAAGTAGCTACCCAATTCTTATTAACTCCATCACTTTAATTTGCAGAGACAATACCTCCTAATCCTTGGATGAATGATGTCTAATACAGCATGGGTACTGTTTGCTACCCAGAATTTTTGTCATGTAGCAGAAAACTGACATCTGCTCTTGTGCCACTCTTATTCCTATATCAGAGTGTTCATTGGCAACTCATTAAAATATCTTTTAAAATTTAAGGTGAAATAAAGACTCTGCCTTTTTTCTTTCTTTCTTTTTTTAACAGGCAAAAACTGAGAGAATTTTTTTTTTTTTACCAGCAGATATGCACTGAAATAAATGTTAAGGAAGATCTTAGGCGGATGTATTACATTATTTCACAGAAACAGGGATCTACACAAAAATACAAAAATGGAATAAATAAAGGTAAAAATGCAACTTATATCTCTTCATTTTAATTGTTCCAAAAAGAAACTGACTTTTTAAAGCAAAAGAGTGGCAATATCTTTATAGCACATGTAAAAATAAAATGGATGAAAAAACAGCATAAAGGATGAAAGAAAGCATTGTGAATCTACACAATTGTAAGATACTTAATTCCACACATGAAATGGAATACTATTTGAAGGAAGATTCTAATTGTTTAAAGATAGACATGATAAGCCCTAGAACAATATTTAAAATATTTACAGCCATGAATAAGTCAATAGTATAGATACATTGAATCTTGAAAAATCTTATTAACCAAAAATGGGCAGAAAAGAGGAAAAACAGAAAAAATAAGAATTAACTATCGAAGTGGTATTTTAATATTACTATATCAATAATAACATTGAGCATTAACAGTCTAACAACCAATTAAAAGACAGAAACTGTCAAATGGGATAAAAAAGTCCCAACTATGGGCTACCCACAAAACTAGCCTGGTTTAAAAACGAAGGCATAATAAATTTGTTAAAAGAAAACTGATAAAAACATATATTATATTCAAATAGCAAATTTTAGAAAAAGAACTAAAACTGTTACATTAATTTCAGACAAAGTAAACTCTAGAATGAGAAATTTACCAGGACTGAAAAGAAATACTATACAATAATAAAAGGATCAGCTCTCTAAGAAACATAAAAACCTGAAACATAAATGAACTCATCACAGAACTTCACAATATATACAGCAAAATTTGATAGAACTGAAAGGAGAAATAGATCTTTCCACATGTAATAGGAGACATCAACACCTCTCTCATAGTAGTTGATAGAACATGTATACAGAAAATCAATCTCTCTGCCAATGAAGATTTTTTCTCTCATTTACTCAGACATAAAATACCATGTTATCTTCAATTCCTCCCTTCCAATACCTTGTCTCTACTCAAGACTTAAATATTATGTCAGCCTGTTCCTTCTTATTGAAGGAATATATATGATCTCTAAGACTCATGGAAAGTTGGAAATCATATGTTGGGATGATAATAGTACTCATATTTATAAGGGATAAACCACTAACAGATAAATTAATTAGCAATTCTTAGAAAACAATGGTTTAATTTTTAAAATAGGACGTTACCCCTCAGTACATTTCATCAAAATCATTATGGGGACATTGCTATCTATGAAAATATTACTAGGTCTTCCTCATGGAACAGTTGCTGGTGTCTGAAGAAAACTTCAAAGAAACTGCACTGACACTAACATTTAAAAAGTTGCCTAAATTTCAAGTCACTTTAAATTGCTCTGTTGACATCAGCAATATGTTCATATAAGATATGTGAAGGTTCCTCAGCTATCTTTAATAGCATGTCTTGCCAGAGAATAACATGGTCACTTTATTTTTCTTAACTGTATATACCATAAGGGACAGAGCGAAATATTAGATGAAGCTGTTTTTCATTAAACATTTCATTGATGACACTTGTGGTTTTTGAGTTTTTTTCTTTGTGTGTTTGTGTGTGTGTGTGTGTGTGTGTGTGTGTGTACATTTTGAAAACAAACTACCAATATTGTACTTTTATTTTGGGAATATGATTTTCTGACTTTTTATGCTTTGAAGCAGGTAATAAAGAGAGATAACGTCTCTCAGAAATTATTTGTAACTAAAAATTCTAATGATAAATCCGTCAAAATAAATTTGAAGAAAATAAAGAACTAATCATATTTTAGAGATTTTTAAATATGTGATAAAAATAGTTTATTTCTAACAGTAGATTTATAGAGTGGTTAAAAAAAGAAGAGTTCATAGAACGCAAATCTATTGTTAACCTGGATAGTAGGGAGCAATGGAATAGGTCTTCTCATGGTCTGTCTGAGACTGAGGGAGTTGGTAAGTTCCATGCTTCAAGAAAGAGTGCAGGGCAGTCAGTTAAGGAAATGAGAATTAGGCAAATGCCTGCCAGATGTGATAGTCCGAATCTACTATGAACGTTTCTAAAAATTTGAATAAGAGATGAGCGTGCCTGCATTGGCATGGACAGATATAGAGATGGAGATTAGTGTATAAAGATTGAATTTTTTAGGGGAATGATGCAGAGTGATCTTCCCTGTCAAATGTACTTCTGAGTTTGCTACAGCTGGAAGGGGGAGAATATTGTTTGAGTTTGTAAGATAAAAAATAATGGTAAATCAACATTTGTTCACATTGCTTAAAAATCCATCTGTGATTCCAACTCTACCTTATCTTCTTACACCTCGCTTCATTCTCCAATTATCCTCTCTTGGTCTACTTGAACCCTATGTTCCAACCATTCTCATTATTCACTGTACTTTTATATGTTGCTTAGCAAATACATAGTCATTGTTCAATATTTGGCTTAAGTTTCACACTCACTCTGTGGCCACTAATTCAGATATAATTGAAAACTCCATATTCAGTGGCTGCATATATCTAATAAAACACTTAGGAAAAGTTATCACACTCATTTATCTGTGACAACATCTATCCCTTTTCAAATTTAAGCTGTTTATAATCTAGATTTTTAGAAATTCATGTTATTTCCTGATTCTGGAACAGTGCCCGGCCTATAATAGGTGTTTAAATAATACCTGTTGTATACATGTATATAGAGCCAAATAAGCAAATTGTTTCTTTATGCTTGGAAACAGAAGCATTGTGAGACTGATGGATGACATTGGACTAAGAGGCAAGTGTCAATGGCTTCAATTAAATTGAAAACTGAAAGAGCTGGCATTTATAGTCTTTAGAGCTCTAAAGATTCAGGCCCATGTTTTTTCTTATATTTAAATATTTACCTGGTAATATTAACTTAAAATTTTAAGAAAAATAATTAAATATTTTCAAATTACAGTGTAAATACATTAATACAGTATATATAATAAAATAAATAAAAACTTGCCATTTCTATGTGTATAATACCAATTCTGTTTTATGTTAAGATTAAATTGAATTTTATTTCATTCAATAAATGGTTCTCTTTTACCCAGAAGAGAGCATTAGCTATAAAGTAGCCTGTAACTTTTACCTACATCTATGAAGATGTCTACTTTTATAAGTAAAATAACCATAGTGCTATTTAAATAATTTTATTTCCACAGGTAGAGCAAGCTAATGTTTAAACTTAATGATACTTCATATCATGATATTGTAAAGGTTTACATTTCACATTATGGGAATCACCAACATATGATTCTCAATATCTATTATTATAATGTTTAAGATCCACGATTACTTAAAATAATAGGCTGCAGTTCCCTTGCCTCGTTTGCATAAAAGTTTATCTAACATATTATATTTTTAACTACCAGCATTATATATTTTATCTGCACCTACAGAGATATTATGCATGCATTACCACATTAATGTTCATAAGAGAAGTAGAAATTGTTCAGACACAACTTTTTATAGTTGCGTGTTTGAGTGAATGCTGGATATTAAGAAACCTGATACAGCAGGATAAAGTATAATCTGTTGTGTTGCCTTGCACTAATTTGGTAAATTGTGAATATCCAGTGACTTTAGTCAATAGTAAGTATTCAACAGTGTAACAAAAGATTTCCTGTTCTAGAACATAAATTTTATTGTGTATAATTAAGGCAAACCACATGATGCTATGAAATCCATACATTTTATATATATATACACACACACTATATATATTTTATGTATCATATATTTTATGTGTAGACATAATACATGAAATCCATATATATAAAATCCATCATATATATGCATATGTATGTATATATATGTGTGTGTGTGTGTGTGTGTGTGTGTGTGTGTGTGTATATAAAATGGTTGATATCCTTTGGTTTTTTGATACTTAAACGTTAACAGAATTGGTTTTCATTTTTTGGGGAGCAGTTTCAGAGACATTGTAAGCCTTTGGGAAAAAAAATGGGTCTAGATGTGTAATATTCCATCCTCTTTGGCTCCTATTTTCTAGCCCATCCTCATTTTAAATTATCCGATGCCTATTCTAAATTTTGAAATGTTTGGCTAAACATTACACTAAATATGACTCTTTTGTCATGTTAAGTGTTTACCTTTCATTATTTTAAAGTTATCGTTTAACTTTAGTTAAATGGTAGTGGTAGTTTAAAAAATACAACAGTAACTGTTTATTTAGAAATTATTTTTAAAGGTCAATTAATAATGAAATGCCTGCTGTTATGAAATAACGTTCTTACCAAAAGGATCTTGTTTTTAATAATGATAATAACAGCAACGACACATCCTATGAGTAGGTACTCTTCTAAGCACTTTATATATTGCTAATACTCTTTACAAAACCTATGAGGTATGTACTATTATTGTCTCCATTTCACATATGAGAAACCTAAGGCATGGAGAAGTTAATTACTTGTGCTAGATTACCCAGCTGCAGATCCATGAGCCATACTCTTATTGAAATATGATATCAAAAGTTGATGACTACGTAACAGTTTTCATGACACTAAAAAGTATCCCTAACACATTAAAGACTTAATGGTTAACTCAAAACTCTAAAAATTACTAGAAGAAAAAATAGGGGAAAAGCTGCTTGACATTGGTCTTAGCAAATTTTTTTTGGACAGGATCCCCAAATTACAAGGAACTAAAGCAAAACTAAACAAATGAGATTACACCAAACTAAAAACCTTCTACACAGCAAAGGAAACTATTAACAGAGAAGAGACAACCTGCAGTATAGGAGAGAATATCTGCAAACCATACACCTGATAAGGGGTGAATATACAAAATATATAAGGAACTCAACTCAATAACAAGAAAACGAGAACTTGATTAGAAAATGGGCAAAGGACCTGAATAGACTCTCCTCAAAAGACGACACAAATGGCCATGGGTACCTGGAAAGATGTTCAACATCACTAATCATCAGGTAAATGCAAATCAAAACTGCAATGAGATCTCACTCATGCCTGTTAGAATCATTATTATAAAAACGGCAAGAGATACCAAGTGTTGATGAAGATGTGAAGAAAAGGTAACCCTTATATACCGTTGATGGGAATGTAAAGTGTTGTGGCCACTATGGAAAACAGTATGGAGGTTGCTTAAAAACTTAACAAATAGAACTACCATAGGATCCAGCAATTTCACTTCTGCTTATACATCTAAAGGAAATTACATCAGTATGTCAAAGAGATGTCTGCACTCTCATGTTTATTGCAGCATCATTCACAATAACCAAGATATAGAATCAATCTGTGTCTATCAACAGATAAATGAACAACATATTACACACACACATCCACACACACACAGATACACACGTGCACATACATAATGGAATAGTATTCAGCCTTAAAAAATGATAATCCCATCATTTACAACAACAGGAACAAATTTGGAAGAAATTATATTAGGTAAAATGAGCCAAGCACAGAAGGAAAAGTTCTGCATGATCTTAATTATACATGGAATCTAAAAAGTTGAACTCATAGGAGTAGAGAGCAGAATGGTGGTTACCAGGGCTGGCAAGAGGTAGGGGTGGGGAAGGGGAGATGTTGGTCAAAGGACACATAACTTCAGTTAGACAGGAGGAATAAGTTCTGGAAATCTATTGTACAGCATTGTGACTATATTTAATAACAGTGTGCTGTATATAGTACTTGAAAACTGCAAAGACAGTAGACCTCAAATGTTTTCACACATACAAAAAAAAATGATAAGTGTGTATGGTGACAAATATATGTTAATTATCTTAATTTAATCATTCTGTGATGCACACATATGTCAAAACATCATATATACCTCATAAATATACATAGCAAATATAAATAACAACCACTTTTTGACATGTATTTTGGTGAGACTGGCATATCCATTCACTGAACTAACACTGTTGAAGTGGCACTACTTTATTTCATTATAGCTTCAACTTTTATTTTTGATTCAGGATTTGCTCCGTGGGTATATTGCATGATGCTGAGGTTCCAGGTATGAATGACTTTGTCACCCAGGGAGTGAGCATAGTACCCAGTAGTTTTTCAATCCTTGGCCCCCCTCCTTTTCTCCCCATCTAGTAGTTCCCAGTGTTTATTGTTTATACCTTCATGTCCATGTGTACCCAATGTTTAGCTCCCACTTAGAAGTAAGAACATGTCATATTTGGTTTTCTGTTACTGAGTTAATTCACTTATGATAATGGCCTCCAGCTGCATCCATGTTGCTGCAAAGGAAATGATTTCATTCTTTTTTATGACTGTGTAGTATTCTATGGTGTATATATATATCACATTTTCTCTAAATTCACCAATGAAGGACACCTAGGTTGATTCCATGTCTTTGCTATTGTGGATAGTGCTGTGATGAACATGTGAGTGCAGGTGTCTTTTTGCTAGAATGATTTGTTTTCCTTTGGATAACATACCCAGTAATGGGACTGCTGAGTCGAATGGTAGTTCTGTTTTTAGTTCTTTGAGAAATCCCCAAAGTGGTTCCCCCACAGTGGCTGAACTAATTTACATTCCCAGCAGTGTACAAACATTCCCTTTTCTCTGAAGCCTCATCAGCATCTGTTATTTTTGACTTTTTAATAGCAGCCATTTCAATTAGTGTGAGATGGTATCTCGTTGTAGGTTTGATTTGCATTTATTTAATGATTAGCAATCTTCAGCATTACTTCATGATTGTTGGTCGCTTGTATGTCTTCTTTTGAGGGGTGTGTGTGTGATCATGTTTTTTACCTACTTTTAATGGGGATATTTGTTTTTTGCTTGTTGAATTGTTCAAGTTCCTTATAGATTCAGGATATCAGACCTTTGACAGATTCATAGTTTGTGAATGTTTTCTCCCGTTCTGTGGGTTGCCTGTTTACTCTGTTGATAGTCTCTTTTGCTGAACTAGCACTCTTAAAAATGTCTTTTATACATATATCTTTAAACACTATTTTATGCCCAGTTCTTGGTAAAACACTAGTCTGGATGTTGCTGTAAAAGTATTTTGTAGATATGATTACCATTTCCAATCAGTTGACTTTACTCTTTATAATGAGGATTATTCTTCATAACATAGGTGAGCCTTATCCAATCAGTTGAAGATTGTGAGAGCAAAAATTAAGGTTTGCCAGAAAAGGAGGTATCCAGCTTCAAGGTTGTAATAGAAACCCTTCCTGAGCTTCCAGTACTGGCCTGTCCTACAAATCTTCGATTCATCAGCCTCCAGAATCATGCAAGTTAATTGCTTAAAATAATTGCTTAAAATTTATCTCTCTCTCTGTCTCTCTTTCTCTCTGTCTCTCTCTCTCTCTCTCTCTCTCTCTCTTTCAACCACTTCCGGGGTTCAAGCAATACATTATGAAGATAAAATGAGAATATTATTGAACATTTACTTAGTAATTTTATAGATATAGTATGAAAATAAAACATTCTCATTTTGAAATCCTGAATTTAGTTTTAGAATTTAACAAATTCATAAAGTTAGAAAAATTGTCTTCTTAAATATTTAAAATAGTGATTGCATTAAGACAATTGCTTTAATTTTGAAGCCTAGTATTTTTGAAACTGGTTCGAGTGGCATTATCTCTTCCTCATATTTATTTCCTCTGTATGCAATTTCTTATAAAAGTGATGAAGAAGGGAGTAATTATTAGCACCCAACATACTGGGGCCATTTAACTTTTGTCTGTCTTCTCATTCATCTTCTGGTCATATCATTAAAATCTCTATGAAGTAAGCTTGACTTAGATTTACTTTCTGGTTTGATTATCTTTTTATTTTATATAGATACCTTTTTCATTAAGAGTTGAAAGTGTTATTGCAGAAAAAAACCTGTAGGACCGAAAAGACAAGCATAGCCAACTATATTGATCTTTTAATACAGTTTTACTTAGGTATGCAGGCTCAGAAATTTTTAATGTATTGTATTTCCCTTAACAAGTAGCATTCTATATTTTCATGCCTTTCTCTTCTTTTCTGTTTCTGGCCATGAAGGGAGATTTTAAATCCAGTCGGAAAAAATTTAAATTCCTTCTTAATAACACGGGTCTACTCTATGTGCATTAATTTCAGGGGACACTGGCATTAGTGTTCTCTTAAGGATTAGTAGTCTCTATTTTCCATAATTGAGTTATCTAAAAATGCATTCAAGCAGAAGTACTATTATATCCATACATGGTAATGTAGGTATTTTAAGCCATTAAAATATTGTTAGAGATAAAGCAGAAAAAAAAAAAACACCTTAGGTACATGACATTCTCCTAAGGATAACCAGTATATTTTAAATTACATCATTGGCTCTATTGTTCCATTATTTTAAATAAATATTGCATGTGAAAATGAAACTGGCATAATACATTACAAGGATATATCACTAAAGGTCTATTCAGGAAACAAATATATATTTTCATGTTAAAAAGGGCTTAAATGAAACCATGACTTTTGGCAACTGTTAGAAGAACTGGAGAAAAGAAAATTAGGAAAGATACTCCTGCAGATCTGGGTAGTTGCTTCCCAAAGTCTACACTCATGTAGATCTACATACGTGTAGATCTTGGACCAGACTAGGACAGCTTTAGGAGTATGGCTTGTCTCTGTTTTGCATGGACCAGGAGTGCATGTGAGACAAAAGGAGTTCATGGGAAAATCTGAAATGCTCTCCACAAGGCAGACTGGAAGCTAGGAGATAGTCTGAGAAGCTGCTGACTTTACATTAAGGGAATTTGTGGAATAAACATCAAAGTTAAACCACTAATGAAGCTTCTGGGTCTAACACCCATGGCCTTACAGGAATTACGTTTTACTTCCACCTTCCAAATCTCCAGGAAATTCCCGTCAATGGAAATATCTAACTCAGAACTAAACAGGGAAGAGTGTCCAGGCGTGGACGGAAATGGTGGTCAGAGTGGCATCCTAATCACAGATAACCCAACACACACAAAAAATGTAGCTGTCTCTTTATATTGTGGTGCACAGAGTTATGAAATATCTAACATAAATGTGAAACCTGGATAATTCTGCCAAAAAGATCTGGAAGTCAGGCTAATTGGGAAATCACAAATAACATCACACTGAGGGAGCTTGTACAGAAAGAATTAAATGAAGCAGAAACCAAGAAAAGCAAATATGAAAAAACAATAATAACCTACAGAGAAAGTGAAAGAGTGGGAATCAGTCACTTGCAGGACTTGCGTGAAAACTGTGCTCTGGTATCAGGTAAATTTGGTTAGATATTTGGGGCGCATTTCTTTTCTTGTCTTATCTGGCAAATGTGGATTTTTGGTTCTTGCAACAAAAAGTGCCCCGACCAGAAACTTCCCAGCTAAAATATGTTAATCAATATAAACATTTAAAAATAACATAATTAACTGTTATCCTTATAAAATGAACTGATAAATCAGCATAGCATAGTAAATACAGACTGTGGAGATAGGATATCTGGATTCAAATTTTATCTCTGTCACTTATTAGCTGTGTGATCCAGATTAGCTGTGTTTTATAAGAGAGTTACCCTATCTATCTGTGCCTCAGCTTCTCATGTATCAATTTAGGATGCTATTATTGTGAGGCATTAAGAGGATTAAATGAATTACTGTCTGTAGAGCTCTTACAAATGTTCCTAGTAAGTAGTAAGTACATGTTAATGCTTGTTAAGTTAATAACGATGGATAAAGGGATGAACCTTAAAATAGAAAATTATTTTTAAAAATTCTCTCTCTCGAAATAACAGAGACCAAGATCCTTACCACAAGCATTCCAGAAAAGACAATCAAGAAAATAATGAATAGTAGGAGATTTCATGGCCACTATCTGTAAATTTCCTTTGCTCTATTGATTCTTCTTTCAATTCTAATGAGTGTGCCATTTAGAAGTAGGCTGCTAAAAGAGGTCTTGGTCAGTAAGATTTCTCCCTTCCGTTAATCAATATGGATTATCCAGTTCGAAGTGTTATCAAAATAATAATTGATCTCAACATTGGAAAATCTGGGCTCTTAAATGAAAAGATAGTGGAGGTAGTTAAAAAGATCCCATGGACTAATGAGTTCCACAATATGTAATTATTTTCTGTTATTTATCATGAAGTTCTAGGTTCTAACTGGATAATAGTGATGTCTGTGGACCCTTAGGTGTACTCTGATTAATAATAAAAACAATTGTGTACAACAAATGATTAAATAAATGAACAATAATCCAACATATTGTATGTTCAACAAATGATACCATTAAGTATAAGGCCTTACTTTGTTACTAGATTATAAATGTTTTCCTAAAAATGAAATTTTAAAGATGTTTTGCTTAGGATTTTGGGTTGTTTTCAGTAGAAGATCTGCCCATGTACCTATCTCACATTTTACAGGAACTGACCTACTTTATTCTATCTGTTTTTCCTTTCTTTCCTTCTTCCTTTCCTTTCCTTCTTCTTTTCTTTCTTCCTTTCTTCTCTTTCTTCATTTTTCCTTTCCTTCTTAATTTGTAAGATTGTTAGAGATGCACTCATGTTTCCCAATGAGTAAAGCTACTAATAAATTCTAATAAAATCAGCAGCTTTTGCTCTGTATATTTCATTTTGTTAGTTGAACTATTTAAAAGGTCATTTTTGTTATCGAGTGTTTTTGTTGTGATTCTTTTATTTCTAATCTTCACTTTAAGTTTCATATTATGATATCAGCATTGCTATACTGGCTTTCATTTTTATTTGCCAATTCTAAAAAAATTCCCTATTTTAATTTGTATGTTTTATCTATTTTTTAGATGTTGCCCTTGCAAACAACATAAAACTAAATTTTTCACTAAGCTAGTTTATATTCAATATCATAGACTACATGAGGGCAGTATCTGCTACATCTACATTGCCATAGTGTTGGGCACCAAAGAGATAATTGAGAAACCTTTGTGGCTTAACCTTTGTTCATTTACCAGAACTACTCCCTTCAAATGCAATCTGTTTTAATCCTTTCATATTCTTTATTAAACTGAAATCTGGCTTCTCTATGGTAAGCGTTTCTCTCTCAAGTGGAGCTACTTTTTTTTTTAATCTCTCTTGTATACTGACAGTGTGAGCTTAACACACATGACTACTTTTTATACAACAAACACTTTTAGGTATCTATTCTGGGCCTATAGTTATGATAGGTATTATACATTTTAAGTTAAACAAAATCAAAACAGACATTCCTGCTAGAGAGTTGCAATACACCAGGGGAAGGAGACTAAAATAAATCACTACAGTTTGGAATTAATTTTACAGTAAAAGAATCAACAAGGCACTTTATAGGCAGCAGAAAAAAAGGCATCTAGCATCTCTATGCTGTTTTGAATTCTGAATGAGAGTAGGGGATAAAATGGTTAGAGAAGGCTTCACAAAGGAGGCATCACTTATGCTGATTTATAAATAATTAGCGAAATTCCAAAGGACAGACAAAAAAAGGTATCCCAGGGAAAAAGCCAGTGTATTCAAAGAACATGAGAGAGACCAGGGAAAGATGTGTGAACTGCAGTTGCCAACTTAGAGTTAGAATAAAGACGGTCTTAAAAGCCACATCACTAGGAATGGAATTTGTCTAGCAGTTTGCTTGTACCAGCTTGTGAAATTCAACTCTGTGCATGTCTTTCCAAATTGGCCTTTAATTAGGTAATGTTGGTAGCTTGAAATTCAACATAACTGGAGTAATTATACTACAAGAATTGGCAAACACTACAAACCAGGGCTTTTTAGCCCAGAGATCCAATTGTTATGTGTCTAATAGCACTCTATTTCCTTAATCATATGTGAAATGAGGAGCCATTAAAAAAATTTAAATCGGGGTATGACACCTAGATTTGCATTTCTATTAGTTTCCTATTGCTGTTGTATCAAATTACCACAAATCTGGTGGTTTAAAACACCATACATTTATTTATTGTATTGTCCTGGAGATCCGAATTCTGAAATGGGTCTGAAATGGCTAAAAGCAAGGTGTTGCCAGGGCTGCATTCCTTCTGAAAGCTTTAAGGGAGAATCTTCTTCTATTTTTATTTATTTATTTTTTTATTTACCTTTTTCAGCTTCTACAGGCTGACTACATTTCTTGACTCATGTGCTTTTTATTATTCAAAGTAAAAAATGGCTGAAAGAGTCTTTTACATAGCACACCACTCTGACACTATTCCTTATTCCTTGCACTTCCAAGGGCCCTTGTGATTACATTGGAACCAGCTGAATAATCTGAGATATCTCCCCCATCTCAAGGTCAGGTGATTAGCAAACTCAATTGCATTTGCAAACTTAATTCCTCTTTGCCACAAAACACATATTCACAGGTTCCAGGGATTAAGAGGTGGATATCTTTTGGGGGACAATTATTTTGCCTACTGTCACACTCAGTAACATTTGTTCTGGAAGTGCTATGGAACATGAGGCTTCAAGACCCTAGGTTAGGATATGGCAATACCTACTTGAGACAAGATGAGAGTTTGAACTAAGTTAGTGGAAGTTAAAAAAAAAAAAAAAAAAAAGGTAATGGTAAGTGATGACTTCATCACTGAACATAATAGTATCCGGAAAATAAATGAGCCAAAAGCCTTAATATAATGCAAAACTGTATCAACGATAAATGATACTATTTTCATTTCCATTAAGAGTAAATGTAAAAGTTACGGAGTTTACATTTCGGTAAAATTGCCTATTTTTTATTAGTCAGACTGCAAATCAAAACTGCAGTGCAATAGAGACTTCAAGCAATTTATCAAATCCTAGCAAGTAAAAAGCAGTTATTTCGATTCTTGAAATTTTTCTTCTTTGTCTATCCTTTTGTTCTAAAACATTCTTTGCACAGCTTTGAAATAAATAATGGTTGATGGGAGAGACAAATATTGCTATGTCTTTATATCTTGACTGTAAAGCCCACTGTTAAGAAGAATTCATACTAGCCTTCACTGGCATCTAGAGCTTGCATAATAGCCTACATGTCTTATATCTCCAACAAAATAGCACAAACTGCTAATAAAACTGTTATGGAAATAAAATGTTTGCCATTGATTTAAGAAGGCACAATTATATATATTGGTAAAATAATGAGATAAAGTAACTTAGCTCTTGCTAAGAAAATTGTTGCTAGCTCTTACCAGTAAAAAGAGGAAAGGATTACATTATGCCGATTTCTTATAATCAGTGAAAAACAAATGGTTGCTTTATAGTCAAAACTTTGCCAGTTATAGTATTGCTGAACTTTGTAAATTGATTAACAGTGACTATAGCGCTGGCACCAAGTAGATGTTCAACAAATCTTTATTGAGCAAATAAACAAATTGGAACAAAGTTTAAACCTTTCTCAAAAAATGGAAAGCTAGATAAATGTTTATTGATAACTCTTATAATTCCACATATTCATATTTGTGAACATATACATTCTGCCAGGGCACACTGAAGCAAGCCACAGATACCTCCACAAGTGCCACAGTGCTTCCAAATTTTCTTCCTACTGCCATTCTTGGCCCCCTTAAATTCAGAGAGTATCACATTATTCCTGGTAAAATCAATGTACAATCAGTCAATCCTCTACCTAAAACCCTTTAGTGACTTCCCATTTCGCTGAGAATAAAGTTCCCTCTCCTTGCTCCCCAGGGCTCAACATGACTGCCCCCTGTGTAGATATCTGATGCCAGAGGAGGCATCCACTCACTGACACCATCTTCCAGTCGTACCAACATTTTTTTATTATTATTCCTGAGACAATTTACCTTTCCCCCCATCTTTTAGGCCTCATCACTTGCTGCTGCTCCTTCCTGGAACATGCTACCCCGAAATTTTTGCCCTGTCATCTCTGGAGAGAGGCCTTCCCTGACCACCTTGACTAAAGTAATCCTTGTCCTTCCCACCATGACACGGTACACCCTCATTTCGCACTTGTCATTGAGCTCTTAAGTCTATGTACATCTCAATTTCTTGTTTTTGTTTCTTTGCTTTGTTTTTCCTACCTTCATTAAAAGCTAAGTACCATAACAGCAAGTTTTGTTTAATATTTCTTTTTTTTTTATTGTGCTATCTCCAACAATTTCACTATGGCATGGCTCAGGGTAAGCCTTCAGTGAATATTTCTCGTACAATTGAATGCATAGATTACTGTTAAATTTAAGTCCAATATACACAGTGGTATGCATATGCATTAAATTATATTTTCTGATATGTCTAGGGCTGACAACACACAATCACCACCCCTAAACTATGACATGAACGACACTCCCATTCACTGTTTGTTCAGACAAAATATAAAGCATTTCTACTCATTTTACTCTCTCCCACGACAACTAAACTTTAGCAAATTCTGTTGGCTCTGCCTTCAAAATATATCTCAAATCTGACAAACCTCATGTTTCACTTCTAGTAACTTAATCCAAGGTGACTCATTTCTCTTCAAGACTTCCACGAATTTGTTTATAAGTCAAACATTTAATTTTAGCCACGTTAGTTTTGAGAGGGCTATAGGACATTTATGTAGACATATCATGTGGGAAAAATTTATAAAAGACAGCTGCAGGGCAGAATACAGTGAAATATAAAACTGGGAATTCTCAGCATGTAGATGGTGTTAAAGACATGTCTGGATATATTTGAATAGGGAGTTTAAATGGAGACCATACTAGATTTGAAGGCTGAATGGAAGAGTTTGGAAAGAGAAGGTGGTCTGAGAAAAAAAAAAAAAAAAGCATGAGAAGTCAGAGTCAGTGAGATTTGATGAACACCAACAAAAATGTATTCACCTAGTCACCAAAATTAGGAAGAAGTTCAAGAGGGAGGAATTAATCAACTCTATCACGTGGCACTGAGAGACCAATTAAGATGAGGGCTGAACACTGAGCCTTGGATTTAGCAGCCCTGACAACAATCGTTTCAATTTAGTGATGAGAGTAAAAGTTTAAGCAGAATGAGTTCAAGAGAACATTAGAGGAGATAAATCACAGCAGATGGTAGGGAAAACCCTCATAAGAACCTTCACATAAATGGGGTCAGAGGTAGGCGGTGGCTTTTGCAGGGGCGTATTAATACTTAAAAATATTTAAGTTTGGGTTAGATTTATTCTTCAATCCAGAGAATGCATTTCAGAAGACTTCACGACTAGGGTACACAGCATTGTTCTTTATAAGAGCTTATTAACATTTCTTAATTATAATAGTAGGATTATGAAGTCATATTTTATTTTGAAGAACTATACATTTTTACAGATGGAATAAAGGTTCTATAAAATAATTTTACATATATTTTAAAATTCAACTAAGTCAGACTCCCATCTCTCTCATCCAAATCAAAATGAAAATTAGTACTACAGTAGATAAAAACACAACTCAAATGTATTATATTACCTACTTTATCTTCCCTTTATGGTGATGGGACATCATTATGGGGAAGATGTCTTCACTGTTACCTTCTCCAATTGACTAATGAAGAAATAGTTCTGTAATTCCCCTATCTACTCATTCCATCTCTTCTTCATGTATTTAATACCCTAAAGTTTAACTGTTCTTGCTTTCTCTGTGTATTTTAGGGTTAAGCACTTTATTAAACAAAAGCTTCATGTTGCTCTTTTAATATTGGTGATAATTATGTTCCTCACATCTATATAAGGGGCAAGAATTGCCTTTTTAATAGCCTAACACAATTTGGTAAAGCTCAATTAACCAATAATGCTATTAATCCTAATTAACGATTCATATTAGTCATTTTCAGTAGATTTATTTTTGCAACAAAATTTTTATTGTGATTATCAGATAAAACAGTGATACCAAAAGGGTTTCTATCGTCATCTAATAATTTAATTAAATGAGGATTTACTAAACCCCCACTGTTGGTAAACTCTCACTGAAGTGAGCCTGAGTCAGCTGAGAGAATCTTCCTTTTTAGGAATATATTCTCTTATGTTAGTCAATATAAGTTAGACTGTAATTGATTGAGTGGTGGATTACAAAAATGGCTACACTTCACCACCACTCCCAAACCATGCCCCTTTGCACTGTAGTTTCGTAGCTCTTTTAATTAAAAAGAGTTTATTTCTGCACTCCTTGGATCTGGGATGACCTTTTGACTTCCTTTGCCAAGAGAATGGTGGCAGAGTAACAGTGTGCAAGTTTCACACCTAGATTTCAGGAGGTCTTGGGTTGTTTTGTTTTTTTCCCCCTTCCTTCTCCTTGAACCCTACCCCGGGGCAGTGTAAATAATCCTAAACCGGCTTTCTTAGGTTGGGAGACCATGCAAAACAGAGACAAGCCATACTCCTAGAGCTGTCCTAG
This sequence comes from Homo sapiens, assembly GCF_000001405.40. Lineage (NCBI taxonomy): Eukaryota > Metazoa > Chordata > Mammalia > Primates > Hominidae > Homo > Homo sapiens. Next base: position 145,728,037 of record NC_000007.14, on the reverse strand, counting down.
TCTAGCCATTTTACACAGCCTAGCAAATGACTAGAAATACATGAGGGTGCCTAGCCAATATCAGTGGAGTCAAAGTAACTTCAGATCAGCAGACCTGGTCAGTTGACTCATGAAATTCTAAGCAATGGAAAATTGTTGTTTTAAGCCAATAAGTGTTTGCAGTGTTTGTCAAGCAGAAAAAGTTAACTGATTCAGTTGGAAACCCAAAATAAAGGGATAAATTACTGAAATCTTATTGAGATGCATTAAGACATTTTCAAAAATGTCAGTGATGGCATGTCCCTCAGGAGCTTCTAAAACCAATGATCTGAAGATGTGAAGAATCTTTCTGGGGACTTGGCTTTGCCATTCTCTCTTATGAGACCTGGTGGAAGGACTGTGACTTAGCCAACTTAAATATTTGTCCATTTGTGTACTGGCCAAATAAGACCAAGGATATATTGTACAAAAGGACTGTTCTTTGAGAACCACCACTAAGGAAGACAACTGCCAGAAAAAGAGGTTTAGGAAAGACATATTTTCTAAAATTTATTTGCTGTATAAAACCAAGCAAGAGTTAAAAAAATAATTCCCACTAAGTATCATTCATCAATTTTATATTTAAAAGACAATTGTTTGGCAAATTTTGGTTACATGTATACCTACACTTACAGACAAAAATCAAACCTTTAAATCTATTATCTGTTTCTGAAAAACATCTGAATTACATTATCACTTGGTGATTTCATCAGTGATAATGGATGGGAGTTGCTCGTGCCAATACAATCCTGGGCAAATTGAGGATGATAATCAATTCTCAAAAAAGTAAGGCTTTATTAGATTTGGTGGTTATGAAAAGATGCATTTTACGTATTTTGAGTTAATTCTGAAATTGAGTACTAAGTCTAGAAAATAATATGACAAAGTGTAGATACATATTTGTACTTGGGAGGGTTTATTTCATATTTTTTTCAAATGATCAATTTCATCTACTGTCTTTGTTTGTTTTACAGGATATATTTATAAATTTATGTTAATTTTGAATCACTTGAAGAGTGGATCCTGAGAGGGATGTAACAAAAATTCAGGGTATTATATGTAGTTTAATGCTATAACTAACTTGAGCATATAAATTTATCAAATTAATAGAGACACAATATCACTTAATATTGCTTTATTCTCCATGAATACTTTTTGTTTATCTCTGTTAATAGTCCAAATATAAAGAAACCATTGAATTGCAGACCAAAACATATATCCATCAAGCAACTGTGGATAAAAAACAAATGCAGTTTTCAAACTAATGGACTTTCTATTGTGTCACTGAGTTTTACATTTTCTTTTTGCTCTGAGCATTATTTGGATTACAAATGAGCAAATATTTCTTGCAAAGTATATTTTAAATATTATATTTAAATAAATATTAGTTTTTGAAAATAAACCAGTATCATTAATTTAGTGTGACGTCCTAATTAACAGGTGCATACCTAATTCATTCAATATAAGGAAATAACTGAAGATGCTTCTTTCTTGCAAGAATCATGTTTCATAGAATATGACTCCTAGATATGGAAGTTATCTTGAAATTAATCTGTTTTAACACTCAGACTTGAATCACAAGACCATCTTTTCTACTATGTAGTCAAATAGTAGAGTAGAATCAATGATAGGGAACTTAAGATTTCCCAAATCATAATATCAGTTCTCTGAAAAATTGTTAGCTTGTTTTCATATGGAATGCAAATAAGATTTTGTTACACTGACTCATTGATCCTGCTTTTAATCCTAGGTATGTATAATTTATCTTCTCTTGACATTAGACATTACTATTTAAAGACAACTGCTGTATCCCTGTAAGATTCTTCTTGTCCCACATTAACAATGGTTATTTAATGACATGATTTTGAAGCTAGCTATTGGCTGTGTTTACAGTTTTTCTTCACAAATTTTGGAATTTCTGACTTCTAAATGTTGGAATTCCTCAGAGTAACATCCTAGGGACTGCATTCTTCCCACTATATTTTCTTTCCCTTGGAATTTCATTTGTTGTTTTGTGTATTGTGACTCCCAAACATCTATATTTTATCACTATCCTCAAACTTTTAAAACCATATATTGAAAGATTATTTAAAAGCATTGCACATAAATACTTCAGAGCTAATATACACAAAAATGAAAATAATCACCTTGCAAAACAAAAACAAAACAAAATAACTCCCAAATTATCTTCTTGTCTCCAATGTCTTAAAAAAGGGCAAAATAATCAACTGTGTTGATTTTGGAAGAAAAAAAAAACGGGGTCACTCTGTTTTATTTTTCTTCTTCACTTTTAAAATTAAATCTATCACCAAATAATGTCACTACTATACTACTTACAGAATATTTTAAAACCAAATCTATTTATTTATGTGGCTACCACTGTAGTTCACGCTGCCACCATTTTTACCCATAACTATTGAAATAGTCTTTTAAACATGTATTTGTGAACCTTCCAATTCACTTTCCCTAAAACAACCCAAGTGATCTCAAAAGGAAGATTTTATCAATTGTTTATCCTGCTCAAAAACCTTTAATGGGAACACACAGTCTCCCTTAACCTGGGCCACAAGGCTTGCCATGATCTTGTAGCTCATCCTTTTTCTCACTAGGTTCAATTCTCCAGGAAGCTTTTTAGATTTCTTGAAAATGATAGACTGTTTTTTGTTTGGAACACTCATACATTCTATTGCCTCCCTGTGTCTGGAACACTCCTCACCTGGTTAATTTATCTTACTTATTCTTCAGTACTATTTGACACTGAGAACCTCCTTTCTTAGCTTTGAAGACAATTTCTTTGATATTCATGAAACCATTTTCCTACTTCTTTTCCCATTGAGCTTTCAGCAGATGAGAAAACAGTGTCCCTACCTCCATGGGTCGTAGATTTTCTTTGTCTCAAGTTCTCTGATATTTTGCACTGAAACACCTTTATTAGGATTTATATTAATCCATCAGCCTGGGGACTTTACGGGGGCTTTTAGTATTTATTTATTACTTTATTTTATTTATTTTGAGACGGTGTCTTGCTCTTTCCCCCAGGCTGGAGTGCAGTGGCATGATCTCAGCTCACTGCAACCGCTGCCTCCTGGGTTCACGCGATTCTCCTGCCTCAGCGACCCGAGTAGCTGGAATTACAGGCATGCACCACCATGCCTGACTAATTATTGTATTTTTAGTAGAGACTGGGTTTCTCCATGTTGGCCAGACAGGTCTTGAACTCCTGACCTCAAGTGATTCGCCTGCCTCGGCCTCCCAAAGGGCTGGGATTACAGGCATGAGCCACCGTGCCCGGCCTGACAGGGACTTTTAATGTGAAAACTAATGTCATATAGTTCTCAGTGAATTTTTTCACTGATGATTTTTGTCCCTTGATTTTCTCTATTATTTAATGCTGGAAATTCTGTTATCAAGAGAATGGACCTGAAGGACTATTCCTCCTATCTTCTTATCTGTTTGATGCTATTATTCATATCTTAGTTATTTGGTTCTATTTTCTGAGAGATTTCCTAAACATTACATTTCAAAACTTCTACTGAGTTTTAAATTTCATTTATCACATTTATTCATGACCTCCTCTATCTTCTGCATAGTTTTCTCATAGCATTGTTTCTGTTTTACGGAAGCATTATTTACTAATAATGATAATTATGGATACTCATACAAGCACCCCCCGCACCCGCCCCAGTCATATGGTTTGGTCATGGTATTTTTTTGTTACAAGCTTCCCTTAGATGTTTGGTAAGACTTGGTTTTATGTCTATGATCAAAGCTGAAAGACTAAACTGCCGATGTTTGAAAGCTTTTTTTTTTCTCTCTCTCTCTTTTTATGGGTATGTAGGTGGTTTGAAGGTGCCAGTTAAAGTTAAGGCTCAGTGCAGGCAGATCTGGGTAGGAGAATTATTAGGAAATCTCCAGTGTCTATGTCTTTAACTCTTTCCTATTGAGCTGCTAATGTTCCTCAGAAAGTACACTTTCAATCTCTTGACTGCAGAGTAAAGATTGTGTGTATGTTGTTCCAGAGGCTCAGTGGAGAAAGAAGGCTGTGGAGTAGAAGGAGACTCAATATACAGCTTATTTAGAGTTCCCTAATTTCTCTACTTTAAGCATAATATCTATGCCTTCAACTATGCTGGTGGCCTCATTTTAATAGTCTCTGTTTTTTCTCTTCTTAAGAGAAAATGTTCTATTCTTTTGGTATAGGAGAAGGAAAACATTGCAGCAGAGAGCCACAGGGAAAGGTATTTGTATCTGGTGAAAAGCCACAACCACAAATGTAAACATTTTTCTGATTTCTATCAATATAAATTAGCTTTAGCTACTACTCTTGAACTTTATTTACATAAAATTATAAAATGTGTATCTGTGTGGTTCTGGCTTCTTTCACTAAAAATCATGTTCTGAGTTTCACTCAGATTATCATGTCAGCAGCCCATTCTTTCTTTACATTTAAGAGTTTTAATTTTTTATTTTCAAATTTTTATTTTACAGTAATTTCAAACTTACATAAAATTGTAAATAGCCCAGGGAGTTCCTGTTTACCCTTATCCACCTTTTTTGGTTGTTAACATTCCTCAGAACTGCAGTACAACTTTTGAAACCAAGACATTATTGTTTGTACAGTATTCTTAAATTATCTACAGATCTTACACAGACCCTACTGGTTGTCTTCTTAGTGTATTCTTGTTGGTCCAGGATCAACTCCATTGTCTTCTGGCCTTCATGGCTTCTGATAAGAAAAGAAGATTGTTGTAATTCTTTTTTTTTTTTTCGAGACAGGGTTTTGCTCTTGTCGCCCAGGCTGGAATGCAATGGCTCACTGCAACCTCCATTTCCTGGGTTCAAGTGGTTCTCCTGCCTCAGCCTCCCGAGTAGCTGGGATTACAGGCTCCTGCCACCAGGCCCAGCTAATTTTTTGTTTTTAGTAGAGATGGGGTTTGACCATGTTGGCCAGGCTGGTCTTGAACTCCTGACTTCAGGTGATCCACCCACCTAGACCCCCCAAAGTGCTGGGATTACAGGCGTGAGCCACTGTGCCTGGCCCAACTGTTGTAATTCTAATCCCTGTTTATCTTCATGTAATTTTTTTCCCTGTGCCTGGCTTCAAAATTGTCTCTATCTTTTGTGTTTGGCAGTTTTAATATAATGTACTCAGGGCTTTGTGGTGGTGGTGGTGGTGATATTTATCTTGCATGGTGTCCTCCGAGCTTTTCAGATCTGTAATATGGTGCCTGACATTATTTTGGAAAATTCTGGCCACTATCTCTTCAAATATTTCTTTAATCCATTTTCTTTTCTTTTCTTTTCTTTTTTTTTTTTTTTTATCCTTCTTGGATTCTAATTGCAGTCATGGTAGAATGACTGATACTGTCTTACAACTCTTGGGTGTTCTGTTCTTGTAATTGTTCATCGTTTTTTCATTTTGTGTTTCAGTTTGGATAATTAATACTGACCTGTCTTCAAGTACACTGATTCTTTCCTAGGTGCCTTAAAGTCTACTGATGAGCCTGTCAGTGGCATTCTTTGTCACTGTACCGTTTGCTATTTTTAGTATTTCCATTGACTCTCTCTCATATTTACCATCTCTCTCCTGAATATTTCATCGATGGATAGCGACTCTCCATCCTTCACACTAGACCCCTTTACATATTAGCCACTATTATTTTTAACATACCTAATATATTCAACATCTGGCTCTTCTCTGAGTATGTGTTTATGGTCTGTCTTTTGACAGTGGGCTGTTCATTTTCTTGCTTTTTTGTGTTTGTCTCATAATTTTTTTATTAAATGATGGATATTGTGTGAAAAACAATGGAGACTGAATTATGCAGCATCTGTGCATGAAAATGGGTGTATCTCTTCCTCTCCTAGATTTTTAATGTGCGTTACTGAATCAGTCTATTCCAGAGTTGAGCTGGCTTTGATATTTGAGTGGAGACAGTTAACTTCTATGCATCCACTATCAGTTTTTCCAGCATTACCTGTGGTTAGGATGGAGGCTTGATTGCTGCAGGTTTTTCCTTCAATGCTGTTGTCTCATTGTGAACCTTTAACCTTCCCTGTGTACCGATGCATCCAAGGCAAGCTCCATGTACTTGCCTCTCCACCAGTGATAGACTGCTGCCATGTCATATGGCCACATTTACTAGCACGCTGGGGAGTCACATGGGCTCTTTGTTGTCCTGGTCTAATCTAGGTCATTGGCATGACCTGTATGCCTCAGTCTCAGGGATATGGCTTTTTCAGTGACACTGCCTGATATAGTTTGGATATTTCACCTTCTAAATTTCATGTTGAAAGGTGATTTCCAATGTTGGAGGTGAGGCCTAGTGGGAGGTGTTTGGATCATGGAAGCAGATCTTTCACGAATGGCTTGGTGCCCTCCTAGTGATAGTGAGTCTATGTAACAGCTGGTTATTTGAAAAGAGCCTGGCATGTCACTTGCTCCCTCTCTTGCAATGTGACACACTGGCTCCTGCTTTGCTTTTTACCATGACTGTACGCTTCCTGGGGCCTTCACCAGAGGCAGATGCTGGCCCCATCCTTCTTATACAGCCTGCAGAACCATGAGCCAAATAAACCTGTTTTCTTCATAAATTACCGAGTCTCAGGTGTTCCTTTACAGCCATGCACAATAGACTAATACACTGCCCTTCCTCTCATGGGAGCCAAATTTTGCCTTTTTTGGTAAGTCTGGTATAGAGGAAGGTTTCTTGCTTTTCCCTGCAGGAGTAGGAAATCTCTAAGGTTACTTACAGAAGATCCTCAGCCCAGGATCCTTTCTTGCCTCTCTGCTTGTGGTAACAATGTTTGGTTTCAACTTCTCTCGTCTTTAGTTCCCTTCCCCTGGCCACAAGGAATCTTCATGTGTGCTCACAGAGAGTGCTGTCCTTCCTCAGTGGCTTAATGATTTCTTGTGTAGCAAAAAACTGTCTTCAGCAATTTGTCTTTCCTTTTGTGGCATCCCCTTCTGTTTTTCAGCCCTGTGCCACAGGAAAGTTTTCTTCAGTTCCCTGCCCTACCTCCAGTCATTCTCTTGAGCCCTGGTAGCAGTCTGTAGAAAGTCTGCACAGGGAACCTCACTCCTTTTGTATCAGAAGCTTAAACGGTTTCTATATTCTTCTGCTAGGCCACTTTCAATCTTTAGCACATTTTTAATTATTTAGCTAAGTCCTTTTTATCTACTGATACGGCACTTGTTTCTTTGGCTCATGTTCTGCCAAGGTAAACCAGTGCTTGTGTTTCCCCTCTCCTTGGAGGAGCCAAGCTTTGTGTTTAGAAACACTGCAGCCTACTTGACTGCTCTGCAGCCTCGGCAAACTGATGAGTCAAAGAAAACGTATAATTTTGTAGTTTTTCAGCCTTTTTCTGGTTGTTAGGATAGTAATAACTATCTTTCCAGGTTTCTAAATCTTGGTGGAAATAGGAGCCAAAAAGGTAATTTTGTGACTCACTCCGCATGGTTTCTTAGAGGATCCCAACAGAACTGAGCCCCTGCTCCCCACAGCAACATTCCCGCTCCTCAAAACCCTGCATTGGCTTTTCTTGTTTTCTTGTCTTACTTTCTCTACTCTTCGTATCTTCTTCCTGGGATTGTCGCCTAAATAAAATTACCATCACTATGGTCCTTTTAAAATACTTTGTTCTAGGGGAAACTCAAAATAAGACACATCTGTTTCACTGCTTTATGAAACTTAGTTTTCTTCAGAACTCAGGTTAAAACAGCACTAAAAAAAATTGTGCTCATAAAAAAAAAATAAGGTTTTTGTTGCATTTAACTGTTCTCTCTTCCCTGCCCCTATTCTCTCTGTCTCTACTGAAAGAAGGAAATGGAAACTTTCAAAAAAATGTATTTTAATGGGGCATGGGGCATAATATATAATCTCTGCATATAATTTCTACTATTTAAGTAAATAAACCTATCTTTTATTCTCCACATATCTTTCTATATCCCTGATAAGTCTAATGCATTTTTTAAAACCATATGAATAAAAAATGTGTGACTTAATATCAGCAATATTTTTAATAAGCTATCATTATAACGATGTTGTAAAGTTGTTTGCTGCATACATTGTCCTGCCTTGGTATTTTTGAACTTGTCTACTGTTTCTTATTTCATTGTCTTTTGAACATTTGTCACCAATTATGTTTTCCTTTGTTTAAAATAAGTCATATGTGAAGAACTTGTAGAACATGTTTCTGGATTAAACAGGGATTTCATTTAGCCATAATGCACATACTTTAAAAACAACCGTTTCCACCAAGTTCTCATATGAATAGCTAAATCAGAAAAGACTATGCATTAGGACAAACATATATCACTTTTTCTATCATTTCTTGAGATTTTGAGAGCAAGCGAATAAATTTGATTTTAGGCATTACATTATTAGACAAGGGTCTCAGAACTCAACACTTTATGTGAAGTTCCCTGGTCTTGAAAATATAGTCCTATTTTGTAAGAAAAGAACTTCTCAGAAGGTGATTAATGCATTTTAACTTAAGGTAGATCCTAAAAGCCCCAGGAATAGATTCTGTCTGGGGTTTAATATTCTATTCCTTAACTTAGTTAAAAATAAGCAGTGAGAAATAAACTTAAAGAACTTTCTATAAGATTTTTGGGAATTTTCCCCTTTATATTAACACTTTGATTTCAATCTAAGTTTCCTTAGGAGTGAATATTTTAAGATTTAGAAAATATTGCCACCGATTTCTAATTTAAAATGGTGTCTGATCTATAACAATCAATGAAACCTTACCAGATTATGGCTGAATCTTTCATTTGAATATTGCCTTAAATCATAATATAATTTTAATATTAGCCTATTTATGAAAATATTAAAGACAGTACTTTATTTTATTTTGCTTGGTTTAGCTTATGAAGAAAACACAACCATTTTTAGGAATAATATTTGGGGAAGGAGGGGCCAAGATGGCTGACTAGAAACAACTGTGGTCAGAGGCTCCCACTGAGAAGAACGAAAATGATTAGTGAATCCCACACTGGCAACTGAGGTATCCAGGTTTTCTCACTGGCACTGACTAGGCAGTTGGTGCGAGCCTTGGAGAGTGAGGAGAAGCAGGGTGGTGCAACGGCCCACCTGGGAGCCACATGAGGCCAGAGGAGCTCCCATCCCCAGCCAAGGGAGGTGGTGAGTGATCGTGCTACCCTGCCCAGGAAATCATGCTTTTTCCACAGATCTCTGCAATCTGTGGACCAGGTGAGCCCCCTCATGAGCTCATGCCACCAGGACCTTGAGTCCCAAGCACAGAGCTGTGCGGATTCTGGGCAGCCACTTGGCTGAAGACTGCCTAAGACTACCAAGTTCCTAGGGGGAGGGATGGGCATCATGGCTGCGGCTGCTTCCTGCCTAAGATGACTGAGCTCTTAGGCAGGGAGACGGGTAGCAGCCATCACTGCAGCTCAAGTCAGTCGTTTTTTTCTCTGCCGGTGCTGGGGAGACTGGATGGTTTGGACCAAGGAGGAGTCCCCCACAGCACAGCACAGCAGTTGTGGAAGATCGTGGCCAGACTGCCTCTTTAGGCCAGACCCTGACCCATCCCTCCTCACCAGGTGGGGCTTCCCTGCAGGAATTTTAGCAACTCCAGCCAGGGTTTTAGTGATAGAACTCTGAGCTCCCTGGAACCTGAGCCCCTGTTGGGAGGGGCAGCTGCTGTCTCTGCAAATCAGCAGACTTTCACCCTGCTGGCTCTGAAAAATCCAGGCAGTCCAGATGAATGGGATTCCTCCAGCATAGCACACCTCCTCCACCAAGGGGCAGCCAGAATCCTTCATTAAGCAGGTCCCTGATCCTTTGCCTCCTGATTGGGTGAGACCACCCAAAAGGGGTTGCCAGACACCTTATATAGGAATGTTCCCACTGACATCAGGTCGAACTGTTTTTGTTTGCAGATGACATGATCCTATATCTAGAAAACCCCATGTTCTCAGCCCAAAAGCTTCTTAAGCTGATAAGCAACTTCAGCAAAGTTTCAGAATACAAAATCAAGCAAAAATCACAAGCATTTCTATACACCAACAGTAGAAATGCAGAGAGCCAAATCATGAATGAACTCCCATTCACAATTGCTACAAAGAAAATAAAATACCTAGGAATACAGCACTCAAGGGAAGTGAAGAACTTCTTCAAGGAGAACTACAAACCACTCCTCGAGGAAATCAGAGAGGACACAAACAAATAAAAAAATTCCATGCTCATGAATAGAAAGAATGAATATCATGAAAATGGCCATACTGCCTAAAGTAATTTATAGATTAAATGCTATTTCCATTAAACTACCATTGGCATTCTTCACAAAATTAGAAAAAAACCTACTTTTAAATTCATATGGAACCATAAAAGAGCCTGTATAGCCTATGCAATCCTAAACAAAAAGAAAACAAAGCTTGAGGCATCACGCTACCTGACTTCAAAATATACTACAAGGCTACAGTGACCAGAAATCATGGTACTAGTACAAAAACAGACAATAGATAAATGGAACAGAATGGAGATCTCAGAAATAAGACTATATATCTACAACCATCTGATTTTTTTGACAATCCTGGCAAAAACAAACAATGGGGAAATGATTCCCTATTTAATAAATGGTGCTGGGAAAACTGACTAGCCATATGCTGAAAATTGAATCTGGACCCCGTCCTACACCTTATACAAAAATTAACTCAAAGTGGATAAAAGACTTAAATGTAAGAACCAAAACTATAAAAACCCTGGAAGACAACCTAGCCAATACCACTCAGGAAATAGGCACTGTCAAAGATTTCGAGATGAAAACACCAAAGCAACTGCAACAAAAGCAAAAATTGACAAATGGGATCTAATTAAACTAAAGAGCTTCTATACAGCAAAAAAAACCCTAACATTAAATGGAGAGACATCCTACAGAATGAAAGAAAATCTTTTTTATAATCTATCTATCTGACAAAGGTCTAAATATCTAGAATCTACAAGGAACTTAAACAAATTTACAAGAAAAAAACAACAACCCCATTAAAAAGTGGGCAAAGGATATAAACAGACATTTCTCATAAGAAGACATTTATGTGGTCAACAACATATGAAAAAAAGTTTAACATCACTGATCATTAGAAAAATGTAAATCAAAACCAGTCAGAATGGTGATTATTAAAATGTCAAGAAACAACAGATGCTGGTGAGGCTGTGGAGAAATAGGAACCCTTTCACACTGTTGGTGGCAATGTAAATTAGTTCAACCATTGTGGAAGACAGTATGGTGATTCCTAAAAGACTTAGAACCAGAAATACTGTTTGACCCAGCATCCCGATTACTGGCTATATACCCAAATGAATATAAATCATTCTATTCTAAAGATGCATGCATGTGTGTGTTCATTGTAGTGCTATTATAAATAGCAAAGACATGGAATCAACCCAAGTGCCCATCAATCATAGATTGGATAAAGAAACTGTGGTACATATACACCACAGAATATGATGAAGCCATAAAAAGAAACAAGATCATGCTCTTTGCAGGGATATGAATGGAGCTGGAAGCCATTATCCTCAGCAAACTAATGCCAGAACAGAAAACCAAACACCACATGAGAACACACAGACATAGGGAAGGGAACAACATACACTGGGGCCTGTTGTCGGGGGAGGTTAGTTGGAGGGAGAGGATCAGGATAAATAGCTAATGCGGGTCTGAATACCTAGGTGATGGGTTGACAGGTGCAGCAAACCACCACAGCATAAATTTACCTATTTAACAAACCTGCACGTCCTGCATATGTATCCCAGAATTTAAAATAGAAATATCCATTGAATAAGTAAGTGTTCAAAGAACTAAAAGAATGTATTCTTGAATGTGTGAGTCTTTAAAATAGTGATAGGAATATAAATAATTTTAATTGGTATAAGATTAGTCTTACACCAATCTAATCTCTAGATTAAAATTCCAGATGCTTAATGGATATCTCTATTGGAATATCTCATAGCTCAAAACCAATAATGATAATGAAGCTTACGATTGTATTTATATAAAAAAGAATATATTCATGACTCAAGAAAAATGTTAAATTATCTTTCTGCTCATACAGTATACAACGAAGTATTGTTGCCTAACAAATGTGAGTTTTTATAAATATTCAATACCATTTCTCTTTAAAGAAATTGTAGTAGCTCCTTGCCAATGCCCTAGGAAGTATCTCAATGTTGCATAGTACCTATGAGTTGGGTTTCAATCCTGGTTCTGTCAAGTGTCCTCTGGAAAGCTGAAGGCCTAGTGCCTATATGGATCTAACATACAATTGTTTTGAGAATTAAATGAGTTATTACATATAAGCCTTCTATATAAATGACTGGAATATATGAAAGTGGTCAACTTATGCTAGCTTTAATAATTTTAATATAATATTAATGCAATTTAAAGTTATGTTATGTGTCTTATATACAGATACAAACAGTGTTTCCAAAAGCAAAATTCATTTTAACGTGTATAGAAAGAACAAGAAAAGAGAAAAGTTTATCAACACCTAAAGAATCCATTCAATTGCTATTGAACAAATAGACATTGTGTCTACCATGTGCTTAGGAAAGTGTAAGGTTTCTAATGGCCAAAACACAAAGATCCTGATGGAATGAAGTTTGAATTTGAGCAGGTGAGGCAGACAATGCCAAATAAACATAAAATAATTATCTTATCTGCATGTCAGAAAGTGGCAAGTGTTATAGAAAAGAAAATTAAGGTGTCTGATGGTATGAAGATTAAGAATTGGGTGTGGGCTAGGGTGAGATTTTTTAAAAGGTGGTCACTTATAGATATTTTCAGAAGGGTTTTTTGAGCAAAGAGTTGTAGATGGGGAAGGGATTAGCCATGTGGGTATCAGGCAAATTTGCCATGCACAGGAAGAAGCCAGTGCAAAGGCCCTGTGGTAACAGCAAGCATAATATAATATGGAAATACCAAGTAGGCTTATGTGGCTGGACTTGAGTGAGTGAGGAGGAATCATGTAGGGCCCTCTCCCACTAGTTTAGGCTCCCGAAATCTTTTTCTTAGTTGTCAGCAATGAAGGCAGCTGAGAAGCAAGATGGCTGAAGGCTCCACACCAATCCTCCCCTCACCAGAAAACCAATGTATCAACTAACTACACATAAAAAGCACCATCATAAGAATAAAAAATCAGAGGAGCACTCAAAGTAACTTCATATCACTGAAAGAGGCATTGGAAGAAGGTAGGAAAGAGTCTTCAGTCACCATCACCACTCCTCCCCGATTCTGCAACAGTGGCTGTATGGCACAGAGAGACAATCTGTGCTCTTGGGAGAAAGAGAACATAGCAATTGTTAGATATTACCTTTGACTCACTGCTATTCTGTCACAGCAGAAAGCACAACTAGGCTGAACTCAGCTGATGTGCACCAACAGAGGAAGCATTTAAACCAGCCTAGAGAGGAATCGCCCATTTCCGCAATTGGAACTTGAGTTCCAGGAAGCCTCATTACCGTGGCCTAAAGTGTCCTGGGGCGCTACAAAACTTCAAAGGTGGTCTAGGACACAAGGGCTGCAACCCATAGGGAAGTCCAAGTGCTTAACTGGGCTCAGAGTCAGTGGATCTGGGGAACATAAGACCTACTGAGACACCTGCCAGGGTGCTAAAAAAAAAAAGTTACCTATAGATAAACAAGGATAAGAATTACATGCAAACAAGAAAAGAATAGAATGAAATATTTAAAGCTTTGAGAAAAATAAAACACTAACCTAGAATGCTCTATCCAATGAAATTAACCTATAAACGTGATGAAAAATGCATTGATAGTGGAAATTTAAAATGGTGTAGCACCTGTGGAAAATAGTTTCACAGTTTCCCAAAGAGTGAAACACAGAATTACCGTATATCCCAGCAGTTCTACTTTTAGGTATATACCCAAAGGAATTGAAAGCAAGAACTCAAAAAATACTTATATATAGTGATTATAGCTGGGGCTGCACAGCTCACAGCTCCAAAAGAGACTCCTTCCTTTTGCTTGTGAAGAGGAGAGGGAAGAGTAAAGAGAACTTTGTCTTGCATCTTGGATACTGGCTCAGCCACAGCAGGACAGAACACCAGTCAGAGTTGTGAGGCCATCTCTCCATGCCCTAGCTCCCAAATGAAATTTCTAGATACATCCTGGTCCAGAGGGGAAACTGCTAACTTAAAGGGAAAAGCCCATTTCAGACAGGAGCCATTACCTGCTGACTAGGGAGCTCTTAGGCCCTGAATAGCCAGCATCAATACCTAAGTAGTAAACTGTGGACCTTGGGTGAGACTCTAAGACTCGCTGGCTTCTTGTGAGACTCAGCATATTCCCAGCTGTGGTGGCTATGAGGTGAGTTCCTTCTGCTTGAGAAAAGCAGGGGGAAAAGCAATGAGGACTTTTTCTTGCACGTTAGGTACCAGCTTGGCCACAGGTATAGCACCAAGTGGGCTCTTGGAGTTCCTTATTCCAGGCCTTGGGTCTTGGACATTCAGAGGGACGCTTACTGCTATGAAAGGAGAGTCCCAAGTGAGGTAGCATTTACAAGCTGACTGGAGGTTCCTGGGGCCTGAGGAGAACATGGACAGTAGCATGGCAGTACTCCCTGTGGGTCTGTGGTGGTGGTGGCCATGAGGTGAGGCTCCTTTGCCTGTGGAAAGGAGAGGAAAACGTGGGAAGGACTGCATCTCATGGTTTGAGTGCCAGCTCAGCCACAGTACAACAGGACACCAGGTCAGTATAACAGGATACCAGGTAGACTTCTAAGGCTTTTGACTATAGTCCCTGGCTCCCTTAGGGCAACTCTGGACCCACCTGGGGCCTGGGGAAACTCATCAACCTTAAGGGAAGGACACCAGCTGATTGTAGATCCACAGAACCCTGAATAAATACAGGCAATACCCAAGTTGTGGTTACAGTGTGGGCCTTGGGCAAGACCCAGTGCCATCCTGGCTTTAGGCCTGACACAGCCCAGTCCCAGTGGTGGTGGTCACAGGGCTTCTTGTGTCAACCCATCCCCAGCTTCATGTGTTTCAGTATAAAGAGAGAGACTCCATTTGTTTAGGAGAAAAAAAAGGAAGAGAACAAGAGCTTCTGCCTAGTAACCCAGATCTTATACAGGACCACCAAGGTGATATCTCTACAAGTCTGCAAAAACCACAGCATTACTGGGCTTGGGATGCCCCCCAGTATAAGTTAGATCACAACATCTAAGTCCTTTCAAATACCTGGAAAGCCTTCCTAAGAAGAGCAAGTGCAAATAAGCCAGGACTGTGAAAACTACAATAAATACCTAACTCTTCAGTGCCCAGACACAGACAAGCATCCGCAAGCATCAAGACTATCCAGGAAAACATGACTTCAACAAATGAGCTAAATAAGGCACCAGTGACCCATCCTGAGAAACAGAGATATGTGACCTTTCAGACAGAGAATTCAAAATAGCTGCTTTGAGGAAACTCAAAGAAGTTCAAGATAACACAGAGAAGGAATTCAGAATTCTATCAGATAAATGTAACAAATAGAAACAATTAAAAAGAATCAAGTGGAAATTCTGGAACTGAAAATTTCAATTGACATACTGCAGCTAGCATTAGTTTTTTAATAGCAGGATTTATCAAGTACAAAAAAAGCATTAGTGAGCTTGAAGACAGGCCATTTGAAAATACAGTCAGAGGAGACAAAAGAAAAAAAGAAAAAAAAACCAAGCACATCTACAGGATCCAGAAAATAGCCTCAAAAGGGTGAATTTAAGAGTTATTGGCATTAAAGAGGAAGTAGAGAAAGACATAAGGGTGGCAAGTTTATCCTAAGGAAAAATTTCAGAGGAGTTTCCAAACCTAGAGAAAGATATTAATACCCAAGTACAAGAAGATGATAGAATACCAAGCAGATTTAACCCAAATAAGACTACCTCAAGGCATTTAATAATAAAATTCCCAGAAGTCAAGGATAAAGAAAAGATTCTAAAAACAGCAAGGAAAAAGAGACAAATAACATACAATGGTCTGGCTGCAAACTTTTCAGTGGAAACCTTCTAGACCAGGAGAGAGCAGCATGACATACTTAAAGTACTGAAAGAAAAAAATGTTTACCCTAGAATAATGAATACATATTTCAAACATGAAGGAGAAATAAAGAATGTCTCAGACAAATGAAAGACGAGGTCAACTCCAGACCTGTCATAGAAGAAGTGTTAGAAGGAGTACGTAAACCAGAAAGGAAAGGATGTTAATGAGCAATAAGAAATCATTTGAAGGCACAAAACTCACTGCTAAGTACACGAAAAACACAGAATATTATAATGTTGTAACTGTAGTGTATTAACTAGTCTTAAGTAGAAAGACTAAATGATGAACCAATAAAAAATAACTAACAACTTTTCAAGATATAGATAGTACAATAAGATATAAAGAAAACAATAAAAAGTTAATAAGTGGAGGTACAATGTTAAGGTACAATGTTAAGGTTTAGAGCTTTTATTAGTTTTCTTTTTGCTTGTTTGTTTCTTTATCCAAACAATGCTAAGTTGTTATCAGCTTAAAATAATGGGTTATAAGATAGTACATACAAGCCTCATGGTAAGCTCAAATCAAAAAAACATACAATGAATACACACAAAAAAGAAGCAAGAAATTAAATACCAGAGGAGAAAAAGACCATAAAACAATCAGAAAAAAAATAACAAAATGCCAGGACTACATCCTTACTCATCAATAATAGCATTGAACGTAAATGGACTAAAATCAAAAAACACCACGTGGCTCAATCGATGAAATAATAAGAATCAGTGATCAATTTCCTACAAGAAACACACTTCACCTGTAAAGATACACATAGCCAGAAAATAAATGGATGGAAAAAGATATTACATGCCAGTAGAAACCAAAACAAAGAGCAGTAGTAGTTATACTTCTATCAGGCAAAATAGATTTCAAGACAAAACTATAAGAAGAGACAAATAAGGCCACTATGTAATGACAAAGCAGTCAATTCAGCAAATATAAAAGTGTACATAAATATTTACCCAACCCTGGAGCACCCATTATCAAATAATAATATCTAATAATATTATTAGATAATATCTGGGCAAAATATCTAGTGCAAAAGTAATGAGAACCCTGAAATATGACTTTATGTAAGAGACGAGCCTGTAAATGTGAGAAAAGTCTTGGGGTAGAGAGTTTGGAGGATAAACGTAGTTAAGGAGCAAAGGTTGATGTGTTGCTTCCAAAGGTGATGCAAATATTAAAGCAAATATTGTTAGAGCTAAAGCAAGAAATAGACCCCAAAACAATAATAGGGGGAGACTTCAACACCCCACTTTCAGCAATGAAGCGATCTTCCAGACAGAAAATCAACAAAGAAACTTCATAGCTAATTCTCCCTATAGAACCAATGGATCTAACAGACACTTGCAGAACATTTCATCTGACGGCTGCAGAATACACTTTCCTCTCCTCAGCAGATTGATCATTTTTAAGGGTAGACCATACGTTAAGTCAAAAAAACAAGTCTTAAAACATTCAAAAAATTTAAAATAATATTTAGCATCTTCTTTGACCACAATGGAATAAAACTAGAAATCAGTAACAAGAGGAATTTTGGTAACTATACAAACACATGGAAATTAAACAATATGCTCTTGAATGACCAGTGGGTCAATGAAGACATTAAGAAGAAAATTGAAAATTTTCTTAGTTGTCAGCAAGTTGAGGGAAACATATTTTAATAAAAAGAATTAAAGCCGTATATTTTAAAAAATATATTTTAACATTCAGTTTTGTTTGTAAGTCGCATGGAACTTAGAAACCACCTGCCATTCTTATTTTAAAAAGTTGTATTTCTGTTTTTGTCCCTAAGTGATTAGGGGTTAATAAGATTTGCTTTCTTACCACCATGTCCCTTAATGAATATATATTAAAACAAACTTTCTTCTCTCTCAAATCATGTTTTTTTTTGTTTTTGTTTTTTTCAGAATTTCCTATTTGTAATGTCATCACTTTTCTCTCTGGTCCAGAAGAATAGAGCAACATACTTGTCTTTTGCTCTTCTGCCTACTTTAATCCTCTTACCTATTTAATCATTAAGACTCGCTTTTTCCCTTTAAAAACAGCCTCTTCATTCCTATTGCTAATTACTTGGTTCAAGTTCTTATTCCTTATAATACAACTATATTATAACATTCATATGACCTCCTGGCTTCCAGCTCCTAATTTATTTTTTATACCATGTTCACATTAATTGGGGTGAGTGATAAATTTCTCCATTAAACTGTTTCAGCAGGATAAATCGATAACCCTGGAGTATGGGTTTACATCTGCTCTTGACTCTTTTCCTCCATCAACCCCTTCTTGTCTGTCCCATATCAATTGAGTAGTAATTTAGCCTAGGCTTCAAGTAGGGCTAATTGCATGTTAACATGCACCAGCATGGTATTTTTAGTGGGCTCTCAATACTGTTAAACCAACATGCTCACTTTTTTAATTTTTCTGACAAGCAGCAGCTAAAGTAATAAGAACCCTGAAATACGACTTTACATAAGAGATAAGCCTGCAAAGGTGAGAAAAGTCTTGGAGTGGGGAGTTTGCAGGATAACTGTAGTTAAGGAGTGAAGGTTGATGCATTGCCTCCAAAGATGATAAGGTCATCTTTCAGTGAAACAAACAAACAAAACAAACAAACGAAAGTGTGCAAGTGTTTCAGAGTAATAGGGAACATGATTTTTTTCTAACAAAGGCTAAACTACATTTGTTTGCAGTAATTATATGAATAAAATATGTAGAACATCCCATTGCTTTAACTATCAGAGAGATAAAAACATCAATTCTATGAAAAGGAAAATCAAGAATAAAAAATTACAGTTGAATTATTACCATATTTCATGTAAGCTTATCCAAAGTTCGATCATGTGTCTAAAGAAAATGTAGGAAAGAACTAAAAATCAACTTAGTTACAGACAAATCTATTTTCCATTCATGTTAGAGGGAAATTAGGTTAAAACAAATTCAGGATTTTCTCAGCATAACATTTTTTGCCCCAGATATTCACTAATTCAGTCCTCTGAAATTTAACAAATGATTTATAACCGTCTAATTTGTGTTATATAAGTAGAGTTATAAATTGAATGACTTGGCGAGCCAGAATAATGTCACAGAAGACAAGGCTAAGCCACATGGCCTAGATCTGAGAATCAGCTCCGTGCAATTTTAGGTAAGTCATTTTACCTTGGCAGATTTCACTGACTTTACATTTGAATGATTACGTTAGCTAGTTGATCTCTAGGGCCCAAGTCTATAGAAAGAAAAGTCCTTGAGAACAAAGAAAGAAGTAGAAAAGGAAATGTGTATATATATATATATATATATATATATATATATACACATACACATATATATATACACATATATATATATACACATATATATACACACACACACACACACACACACACACGTGTGTATATATATTTATATACATTATATCCATTCCCTTGAAATGCCACATAATTCAATTTGAAAGTAAATCATGGCTCACTCATTTCAATTATTTGTATTAGATCAAAGATTTGTGGATATGTATTCAGAGAAAACATCCCAAGGTCACTCTTGCATGCAATGTTCACTTTATATGAAATCAAAACAATAATTTAAGGAGCTCCAGATGTATACAAGTTCATTACAAAAATTCACTTCGTTGCATGTTAGAACTAAAAACAAAAAAAGCCTAAAGTTTCCTGCAGAAGCTTAATTTCTGAGACGCTAAATGTGCATGCACATCTGTTCTATCTTTTTCCTATCCTATCAACATGCTCATAATTGAGTTACTACCTTAAATTCAGTATGGCATGTATATTCATTCAAAGTCATCTCTCTCTCCAACAAAAGTTAAGAATATAGTATATGTCATTGACTTCTGTGTTAATTATTAAGTTAAATACACTAATAATAGACATGTAAAGAAGAGAGTTTTTAAAATTAAGGTAAAAACATGCTCAAATATTGTATTTCTGACTATATCACAAGACCAAAACATTATTTTAAAAATATTTCAATATATGTTTTAAATGCTTCTAGGAACATGTAGCCTAAGAATATCTCAATTTCCCTCTCAGCTCCCTGTGGGTAAGATTCAAACAGGAAACGCAGAGTAAATTTAAAATAATTTGGTCCCAAATTTATCCCACTTATGCAATAGGCAGAATCCCAAGATGGCCCCACTGAACTTCATTCCCTGGTATTATATCCATGATTAGGTTATGTTATGTGACAAATGCATTTTTTCAGATGTAATTAGGGTTACTAATCAAATGACTTCAAAAGCAGAGTTTTCTCTGGATGATAATAAAGGAAATCAAAAATCGATATGCATGAACGCTACACTGAGAGAGAGAGAGAGAGAGAGAGGCAGAGACCGAGAGAGATTCCATTGCGGGCTGAAAGATGAAGTTCACATGGAAAGGACCTGAGTGGCCTCTAAAAGTTGAGGGTGATCCCCAGTTGACACTCAAGAAAAACATTAAGGACCTTGGTTCTATAACAGAGTTTCACTAGATACTGCCAGTTACTTGAATGAGCTGGAAGTACATTCTTCCCCAGTGCTTCCAGATTTGAGTCCCCTTCAGTAACACCTGGTTCTAAACCTCGTGAGACCTTAGATAGAGAGTCAGCAATGGCTACACAGACTTTTGATTTAGAGAACTCTGCAATAATAAATGAATGAATTTTTAAGGTGCTAAATTGATGATAATTTGTCATGCAACAATAGAGAATGAACATCATTTCTAACGCCTCAGGGTAATATCACACATGAAAATAAATTGAAAGTGGATTTAAAACCTAAGTGGAGAAACAAAGATCTGGAATTTTTAGAAAAAAAAATTATATCAAATATATCTTTATGAACTCAAGAAGAAGATATATTAAAGAAATAGCTTAGAAAGCAAAAACCATAAATAAAATCACTCGTAAATTTGGCTACATTAAAAATCTCACAGAAATGACCCCATATACAAAGTGAAAAAATAAGTTATACACAGCAAGAACATAAAACATACATTACTTCAAAGGATCATTAAACTATTACTACACGGCAAATAGAAAAAAAAAAGACAAATTCTCAAGAAAATGTCAGTCCAATAGAAAAGTGCAAAAATCATGTAAAAAGAGAAACTAAAAGAAAATGAGATGGCATAGATATATATATACATATACGTGTATACACATGTTCAATCTCATGAGCAATTAGAGAAAGGCAAATAGTTTTAAAGAGTAATATATTATTTCATGCTCATCATATTAACCAGCAAAGTTGAAGGTTTTTGATGCAAAGCATTGGTCTGGACATCAAATAAAGAGAAATTGTACATACTTATTTTGAGCCTAAATTGTTGTAATTATTTTAATATCTAATTTGAGAATAGCTAATAATATTAAAGATGCTGATTACTCACTTGTCAACAATCTTATTTCTAGATTATTCCCAAGAAATGCTTTTACACATGATCATGTGGAAAAATGAGAAACACTGCAACTTTATTTCCGCTAGTAAAAACTGCACACTGTTTAAATTGTGATCTTCCAGCAGGATGTGTGCCATTGGTGTGGCATTAAGGTACTGGTACTAGAAATGGTTAATTTTTAGTAACTGAAGTACAAAATTTTGAATTTCTAGATAAATTATTTTTGGTACTATATAAGCTATCCTTCCTCATTTTCTCTTTAACTTCAGTTCCCCTAACAGTAATATGCGTGCGCACGCACACACATACACACACAGACGCGCGATACTCTCGTTAATTTCTCATTTTCCAGGCAAATAAATGACCTCTGTGACATCAAATAAATGAAATTTAAAAGTGTGTTTTGGGAAAGACTTCCTCTATTATTAATAACTAGTTAAGTTACTACAAATTTATAATAGGGCTTTCTTCTTTCCCTATCTTATACACAAAAGATAAAACGTGATATTAGAAAAGGGTTACATTGGCCATTATTTGGATAATTCTTAAAGTGTTGCAGACTATGATTCATGACAGTAATAGCAATTTTGGTTTAACAAGCTCCACTTTTTAACAACTCAAAAATTGTTAGCACAATATTGTTATTGAGTCAGAGACTTAACAGAAGAAAAGCAAAGAAAGCATTGAGAAAGAAATTAACAACCAAAAGACTTTAAAATATCATTAAATGCAAATAATTAACTCTATTTATCCTGAGAATGTTTTATTAGCTGAATCAGTTTACCTTAGGTAAAATTCAGAGATGGAATCTTTATATGCTATTTAATTTTTAAAACTATTTTCACTGGGTGTTGTTTGGTGAGGTATTTAACATTTGTTTTATGAAATTTTCCATTATTGGAAACGATGGAATAGATGTACTTCTTACTATTTCTCCTACTAAGCACATCTAAAAACCCTGAGTATTATATAAGTTTGTATACAAAAGAAACGTAAGATGATTTGAATGGTGCTGAAAAAAGTCAGAGACTAGGATTTCAGGCCCTTGCAAATGATATGGTAATCAGTTCCCTGAGTTTTCATTAAGACACATATAAGCCATACTGGGTACTAGAAAAGTCAGGAACATGGAAATACAAAATGACACAGCCCTCAAGGTGTCACTTGAGCTATGTGGGGAGCCTAAACTCTATCCCCATCCAGCATTCTTGAAGCAACTCTCCCCTTCCTAACTTCAGTGGTGTCAGAGGAGACCGAGTGAAAAGTTGGAACTCTCATGACCTCTACCAGTAACGATCCCAACTCATACAGTGTCAATGGAGGCAATGGTGGGAGGAGTAAAGAAAGGCCCTTTCCTCTTCACAGTCAGGGAGGTTTCTGAAGAGGCCTAGAAGAGAGTCTGAAGTGTTACCCGGGCTCAGGCTCAGCGGTGATAAGGGCCACCTTTCTTCCCCTTTGGGTATAAATGGAGGCTAAGTGGGAACCCTGGACTTCCACTTTCATCTTGAAATTATGAGGCAGCTTCATGCTTTGAAACAAATTTGTAAAAAACAGACTGTGTCATAAGATAAATAGAAAATATTAGTAAAGAAATAGAAGATATAAAGAAGAACCAAATAGAAACTTTAGTACAGAAGACATACAATAATAGAAATTCTAAAATCTAATGGATGGATTAAACAGCAGAATGAATGAGACAGAGGAAAGCATCATTGAACGGGAAGATAGAATAATAGGAATTGCTCAGTCTGAACAACAGTGAGAGAATACACTGGAAAAAAAATAACACAGTCTGAGGGACATGTGAGACTGTAACAAAAAATGTGAAATCCCAGAAGGCAAATAGAAAGAGGATGGGGCTCAAAATACGCTAAAACTTCTTTAATTTGATAAAGTGCATAACCAACAGGTGAAGGAGCTGAGTGAAATCCTAACAGAATAATCAAATGCAAGACACATCATTGTTAAACTTCTGAAAGTTGATGAAAAAAAATATGTTACCAGTAGCCAGAAAATATACTTTAGTAATAAAGGGAAAATCCAAGATATGATCAAATGAAGGAAAACTAGGAGAATTTGTTACCAAGTGATATACTCTAAGATAATAGCTTTAAAAAGTTATTTATTTAAACAGAGAGGAAATGATAAAATCATTGGAAAATCAAAAATACTGTAAACAAGCATATGAATAAAATCAATATGACTAAATCTCCTCATCAAATTTCTAAATAATACTTGCTGGTTAAAGCAGAAAATTATAATACTGCCTAATGGAATTCTAAATGTAAGCAGCAGAAATATTTAAGACAATTATATTATAATGAAAGAGGTTAAAGACACATAAAGGAAAGTAAGCTGTCTATATTTTACTCCAACAGGTAAAATACTGATACCAATAGACTGTGATAATATTTTATGTATGTGTGTTTGTGTATAAATGCAATAAGTATATATGTAATACCTAGAGCAACTGCTAAGTAGCTATACAAAGAAATATCCTCAAAACCAAAATTGTTCAAGTAACCCACAGAAAGGTAAGAATAGGAAAACAATGAGAACAGAAAACAAACAAAAAAATGGCAGATTTAAGTCCTAAAATTATCGATAATTATATTAAATGTAAATGGTGGAAATATTCAAGTAAAAGAGAATGTCACAGTGATTAATAACATGACTGAACTAAATGCTATCTGTACAGAAAACTCACTTTAAATATAATTATATACCCAGCTTAAAAGTAAAAATATGATAAAAAATGGATTGTAAAAATATTAACTCAAATGAAATAGCAATGGTTACATTAATGCCAAACAAAGTAGACA
Organism: Homo sapiens; assembly: GCF_000001405.40. Classification (NCBI taxonomy): domain Eukaryota; kingdom Metazoa; phylum Chordata; class Mammalia; order Primates; family Hominidae; genus Homo; species Homo sapiens. The sequence goes on along the minus strand of NC_000007.14, from coordinate 145,703,741 downwards.
TCAAAGCAAAGAAAATTACAAGACAGGAAGACACATAAAACCTAATAAGATCAATTCAAAAAAACAGCAATCTTAAATGTGTATGAACCAAAGTGCTGCAAAAATATGTGAAGAAATAACTTATAGAACAGAAATTTTAAAAAAGGACAAATCCACAATTATAACCTAAGAGTCCAACACCCTTCTCTCAATAATTATTGGCAAAACTAATATCTCTGGAAATAAGAAAATCATTAAGGATAGAGAAGAATTCAACATTATCATCACCCGACAGTATATAATCAACATTATACAATATTCCAACCACAAATATCAGAATATACATTCTGTTTAAGTATCTATGCAACAAATGCCAAGATATACCATATCCTAGTGAATAAAACAAACCTCGACACTTCTAAAATATTTGAAATCACTCAGAGAATATTCTCCAACTACAATGGAATCAGACTAGGAATGAATAATAGAAAACAGGGAAATCCCCAAACACTTAGAAATTAAACCACTTACCCCTAAATAATCCATTAGTCAAAGAGGAAGTCTCAAAGGAAAATTTTTAAAATACATTTAGGTGAATACAAATAAAAATAAAACCTATTCAAATTTTGGGGACACAATTAAAACAGTGCTGAGAAGAAATTTTATAGCACTAAATGCTTACACTAAAAAGAAAACAAGAAAAAAAATCTCAGATTGATAATCTAAACTTGCATTTGAAGAAACAAACAAAAGAAGAGGTAAATAAACCCAAAGCAAGCAGAAAGAACGGAAAAATAAGTATAACAGCAGAAATCAATGAAACTGAAAACTAAAAACAATACAGAAAATAACAAAAAAACCTGGCTTTTTGAAAAGATTAATAAAATTACCAAACATCTAGCAAAACTGACCAAAAAAATGAGAGAAGATGGAAATTAACAATTTCAAGATTGAAACTAGGGCTATAGAGGTTCTGCAGAGAGCAAAAGCATAATAAGGTAATAATACAAACAACCATCCCATATACTTAGATGAAATAAATGAATTCCTCGAAAACAAAAACTACATCAAGACAGCCAGTATGGAATAGATGTTTTAAATAGCTCTATAAGTATTAAATAAATTACTCTAAGGAAAAATAAAACTGTCTAATTGAAGACAAGGTAGCTGTGTAGGAAATCCCCAAGACTTTATAAAAGTAAATCCTAAAATTAATAAGTGAGTTATTTGGAGGCCGAGACGGGTGGATCACGAGGTCAGGAGTTCGAGATCAGCCTGACCAACATGGTGAAACCCTGCCTCTAGTAAAAACACAAAAATTAGCCAGGCATGGTGGTGCACGCCTGTAACCCCAGCTACTCAGAAGGCTGAGGCAGGAGAATCGCTTGAACCCGGGAGGCAGAGGTTTCAGTGAGCCGAGATTGCACCACTGCACTCCAGCATGGCCGCAGAGTGAGAGTCCGTCTCAAAAAAAAAGAAAAAAAAAAAAAGTCAGTTAAACAAGACCACTGGATAAAAGATCAATATCCAAAAGTAAATTGCATTTCTATATCTTTCCAATCAACATTTACAATTACCCAAAAAGTAAATACTTACATGTGAATCTAAGAAACAATACAGGAATTATACAAATTTATACAATTGTTTTAACTATATAATGCCCAGGAAAGAGAGCAAAGAAAACATAAATATTGAAGAATTATCGTGTTTATAGATTTGACGACTCAATAAGTAACAATGTTAATTTTCCGCAAACTGATTTACAGGCATAAAACAATTTCTAGCAAAACTCTAGCAAGATTTTTAAAGTACAGTCAGATTATTTTAAAATTTATATGAAAAGGGAAAGGAAGTTGATTAGAAAAATATATTTTAAAGACAGATAAAATGAAAGAAATCAGTCTACCCAATTTCACTATTTATTAAATAGCCACAGTAATCAAAACTGTCAGGTAGTCATGGTGGAATACATACTCAAACCACAGAAACAAAGTAGAGAATTTAGATATAAATCTATATAAGTAAAGTGAAGTGATTTTTGACAAGAGTTCAAAAGCAAATTATAGAAGAAAAGATAATCTTTGCAACAAATGGTACTGAAGTAATTGTATGTCCATAACGGGACAAGTGAGCTTTTACTTAAATCTCAACTTATATAATAGTCCAAAGTAGATTATAAACTTAACATAAAACTTTTAGAACAAAATATAGGATAAAAAGTTTAGAACACAGAGCTTAGTGAAGAATTTTTAGTCGTAACTCTCAAATCACAATTCATAAAATAAAAATATCTGCGTGTTAAACTTTATCAAAATTATCCTTTTTCATTAAAGATTGTTAAAAGAATTTTTAAAAAGCTGAAAACAGAGAAAAAATTGCAAACTAACGAAATACTCATATCTAGGATATATAAAAAACTTTCAAAACTCAAGAGTAAAAAAAAAATCCAATTATAAAAGTCAGGAAGGGACATTTTACCAATAATGATATATAAATGACAAATAAGCACATGAAAAATCCTTTATTATCAATAGCCATTAATGAAATTCAAATTAAAACCATAATGAGATATTGCTACATGCCTATTCTGACAACTAAAATAAAATATAGATACAATACCAAGTGATGTGGAAGATGTAAAGGAACTTGATCTCTAATACATTATTTGTGGGAATGCAAAATGATACAGCCACTCTGGAAAATTGTTGGGCAGGCTTCTTAAAACCACTGAACATATACTTACCAATGCCCAATGATTATAGTTGTAAACATTTATCCCAGATAAAAGCAAACATAGGTCCGCACAACCTGTACATGAACGCTCATACAAGCTTTATTTGTAGTAGCAAAAATCTGGACACAACCAACATGTCTTTTAATTGGTGATAGTTTAAAAACAAACTATCCTCTATAAATACCACGGAATTTTACTCAGCAGTATAAAAGAACAGGCATTTCCATATCTATAACATTCTTGAAATGACAAAATGATGAAAGAAAACATATTAGTGGTTGTCGACTGTTAGGAATGGTAAGGGTAAGTGAGTAAGAGTGACTATAAACAGGTAGCAGGAGGGAGACATGGTTGTGATGAAATAGTAATAGTTCTGTATCTTGATTTTGGTGGTGATTATGCAAGTCTACATATGTGATCAACTGACATTGAACTATATACACACATTATACCCAGTCTCAGTTTTCTGGTATTCGTATTGTATTTTATTTATGCAAGATGAACCCATTAATGAGATCCCATACTCAAGAACTCTATGTACTTCTGTGTAACTTTCTGTGACTATATAATCATTTCAAAATAGTGTCAGCTATATCTCAAGCCCTCCTCTGGGGTCTAGGATTACAGAAATAAGCAAATCAATGAGTCTTGTTCTCAGTAGGCTTACTCACATTGTAATGAGAGAAACAGACAACAAGCGATGTATAAAATACACACTATATTAGTGATCAGTATTAAGTAAAAAATAGAATGGTGGGATTAAGAATTTCAGGGAGTAGTCAATGGGTTAAGCTTTCATAGAAGATCATCCTGAAAAATTTGAGAAGAAAGCATTTGCATAAACACTCAATGGAGAAATGTATAAGGATATCTAAACTTTGAAGGGACAGCAAGCGCAAAAAGCACTGAGCATGAAGTGTGCCTGGGTTGCTGGAGAAACCAGCCCTGGACTGACTCTAAGGCAGTCATCTGCTTATTCTGCTCCAGGAAGAAGCATTTATTGAATACCATTTGTTTCTAATATAAGAAATTAAGTGATTCAGGTTAAAATACTGCAAATTAGGGAAATGAGGGTATGTTAGGCAAATTATTCAGGCAAAATCTGACCACTCAAACCACTTTCTAGCAGGTTAAAATGTACCTACATTCTCACACTTTATTTTAGTTAAAATGCAAATAATTATCTTGTAATTTTTAACACTTTATTTCTTTTTTAAATATAATATCCTTGGATAGTTTGGGGCTCAGTGAAATCAGTTTTGATTAAAGATAGAAGAGACCTTCCACTAAAATAGTGGGCTCTTTGTTTAAGAGGAGATCAGGGGCTTCATGGAGAAACATGGACAAATTGTTCAATTTGCATAGAGCTGGCCTTGACTTATGATTTATTATATTCAGTGGATAGTAGTCCAGTTCTCCAGTTTCCATTGCCTATATAGACATGGTCCTTGAGAAAAACTGTCAAATAGCTTTATTTTTAAAGAAAAATTACTTGAAGAAAACCCACTGAAGCAACAGAATTTGACAATACAAGTACAAACATGGTTTCATAATAGTTATTCTGCTTAGGTATTAGGTTGGTGCAAAAGTCATCGCGGTTTTTGTCATTAAAAGTAATGGCAAAAACCGCGATGACTTTTGCACCACAATAAGTTGATTGCCCCCAATCAAAGGTCGTTATGTGAAGGGAACAGATGATTTAAATGGCCCCAGTCAAACCACATTGCATATTACACATGGTAATAAAAAAGGTATCAATTCCATACGTTTCTTCTAAGTTAAACAAGTCATGCTTGCAGCTATAGACTAAGAAGGCATTTCACCTTGAACTTGCGCTGAGGAAGAATTCTTTAGTGTGTAAACTATAAGACATTGAGATGCAATCTATCTTCTGAGTCACATCAGCTGGTTAATTCCATCACAAGTGAAATGACCGAAACTAATCTCACACCAACATTCCAATGGCAATACAACTTTAATTAGGTCAATTCTTCCATTCCCTATTACTTAGCCCAAACACGCAAGTTAGTGACTCATGTCACCCTGTCAGCATCTCCACAAACAGTTGCAGCTGCATTCATTTGAACTGGATACTCAAAAAGCCTACTGTGTCCTTATCCATTGTAATTTTTTCCGTTTTTATGCCTCTGCTAATTTGAAATAGCCTCCAGTTACATTCAGGTAAAACACACCTTAAAGGCATTGATTGTCTTTTCTGCAAAATCTGCTCTTATTTTAATTGATACCCAGGTTATAGAACTGACACCTTATACAAAGCAGCCTGAGCCTGACAGTCAGTACTGGAGAGGCTCCCAGGGACCTCCTTACACCTGCTCTGTTCACCTTCCTATGCTTTGGCTGCTCAAAGTTCCAGACTGACTTAGCTTTACAGCTACTCCGTCCTTGATCCGTTTATGCTTGGCCCTAAATTGTTAATTTCTGCATGATGGAACTTCCAGAGTGTGGTTCTATGCACTGAGGAGGTGACTAACTACATCAGAAAAGGTGGGTTGGGGGTTATTAAAATGTATATTCTCCAAGACACCAATTCTGAACATTAAAAATAAGAAATCCTAGAGTCTGTGTATCTAAATATGTTCCAGGTAATTTTCAGAATCAGCTGCGCTTGACTTCTGCTGCATAGGGTGTTCAGTATGCTGAACTCCAACTTGCCTGCTTGCCTCCATGATTATACTAACTTCAATGCACTTGTTTTCACTCCCCTCCCTTTCCTAGGTTTTATATTTCAAACATCGTTTTAAATATCAATACCTGTGGGTTTTTTTCTTAGACCCAACTTGATATCCTGTTGCTATGTGCTGGCAGAATCTCTACACTTATTCAATGACAGCATTTATTGCATTTTCATTTATTTTAGAATTCGCTTATTTATCTTGTTTAAATGCAGTTAACTATTGTATGCCGCTAAGTAGCACAGCAATGTGCATTGACAAATGAAATAAATAATGAATAAACCAATCAGAGCATATGTTCTCTCCTGAAATGAAACAGAGTTTTCCTACTTACCTTTGTTGCTCTTTACTTGATCTTTAATCTCTTTGCTGTTCCTACAGTTTCAGTATATAACCGTTTTTCTGAGAGGTGACAGCATGCTGGCAGCCCTCACAGCCCTCGCTCGCTCTGGGCGCCTCCTCGGCCTTGGCGCCCACTCTGGCCGCGCTTGAGGAGCCCTTCAGCCCGCCGCTGCACTGTGGGAGCCCCTTTCTGGGCTGGCCAAGGCCGGAGCCGGCTCCCTCAGCTTGCGGGGTGGTGTGGAGGGAGAGGCACGGGCGGGAACCGGGGCTGCGCGCGGTGCTTGCCGGCCAGCGCGAGTTCCGGGTGGGCGTGGGCTCCGCGGGCCCCGCACTTGGAGCGGCCGGCCGGCCCCGCCCGCCCGCGGCAGTGAGGGGCTTAGCACCTGGGCCCGCAGCTGCTGTGCTCGACTTCTTGCCGGGCCTTAGCTGCCTCCCGGCGGTGCAGGGCTCCAGACCTGCAGCCCGCCATGCCTGAGCCTCCCCTAACACCGTGGGCTCCTGTGCCGCTGGAGCCTCCCTGACGAGCGCCGCCCCCTGCTCCAAGGCGCCCAGTCCCATCGACCACCCAACGGCTGAGGAGTGCCGGCACAGGGCGCGGGACTGGCAGGCAGCTCCACCTGCGGCCCCGGTGCGGGATCCACTGGGTGAAGCTAGCTGGGCTCCTGAGTCTGGTGGGGACTTGGAGAACCTTTATGTCTAAGGGATTGTAAATACACCAATGGGCACTCTGTATCTAGCTCAAGGTTTGTAAACACACCAATCAGCACCCTGTGTCTAGCTCAGGGTTTGTGAATGCACCAATGGATACTCTGTATCTAGCTACTCTGGTGGGGACTTGGAGAACCTTTACCTCTAGCTAAGGGATTGTAAATACACCTATCTGCACCCTGTCAAAACGGACCAATCAGCTCTCTGTAAAATGGACCAATCAGCAGGATGTGGGTGGGGCCAGATAAGAGACTAAAAGCAGGCTCCAGGAGCCAGCAATGGCAACCCGCTCGGGTCCCCTTCCACGCTGTGGAAGTTTTGTTCTTTTGCTCTTTGCAGTAAGTCTTGGTGCTGCTCACTCTCTGGGTCCACACTGCCATTATGAGCTGTAACACTCACCACTAAGGTCTGCAGCTTCTCTCCTGAGGCCAGCCAGACCAGGAACCACCAGGAGGAACGAACAACTCCAGATGTGCTTCCTTAAGAGCTATAACACCCACTGCGAAGGTCTGCAGCTTCACTCCTGAGCCAGCGAGACCACGAACCCACCAGAAGGAAGAAACTCCAAACACATCCGAACATCAGAAGGCACAAACTCCGGACACGCCGCCTTAACTGTAACACTCACCGCGAGGGTCCACAGCTTCATTCTTGAAGTCAGTGAGACCAAGAACCCACCAATTCCGGACACAGTTCTAGCATCAGTTTCTACCCTGCCCAGTCTATAAATAATTTTCTGAGATTTTTACAATTCTTCAACTTCCTCTGTTATAATATCCTTTTTTAGTATTTAATATTAGCCCTCAGTAGGTTGGGTTTGCTTGGAATTCCCTATTCATTTGGATTTTAAAATCCTGTATTTCTCCAAATGCTAGTTAGAATTTTTTATTTGTAATTCTAGATCCTTAGGATCATTTGATTCTCTGTCTTTCAGTGTAACTGATCTCAACACCACAATCCAAACCACATTTCCATTCCAGAGTTGCCAGGAATTTTTGGAACATACTGATGTGGTGCTAACACCATTACTTTATCATGAGTCTTTCCTGATCTCCCCAGTATTGATTTGTAAGATATTGTATAACTACTGTGTGTACTTTTCTAGGCTCAATAAAATATGATCTTTCTTCTTTTGGCCTCATAATTCTTTATACATTGCTATGCTATTAACTGAAATATTTTGAATTATTTATGTGCTTGTCAAATTCTCTAACCAAACAAATATAATTTGGTCTCAACCGACAATCTGGGAATTAATGTAAGAAATCTCCCAGTGGAACATAGTAAAGGTAAGTGAAAATAGTATGCAGTATTTTGGGATTGCTTGTGGAGCTCTACAACTATCAATATGCCTAAAGTTTTACTTTTTATCAATTCTAATTTTATTGGCTTGTATCACAGTATTACCACTTCCTAATTATTTAATCCTGAACAACAGCATTAGTTTCTTCTATCTTCATATTTTTATTTTGTAAAATTGAGTTAGTAATAGATCCCTTCATTGGTTTGTCATGTTAAGAAAGTAAAAATATTTAATTAAAATATGATACTAATATATTAGGTACTCAATAAATAGTCCCTGTCATCATAATTGCCAGGATTATCACCATGAGGTAGATAAAAAGACTCAATTAAATTTTAGTAAATTTGAGTACTAGCACTGAACTGGGGAACAGTGATCTCTGGCATCAAGCAGAGGTTTGGCTCTAGGCATTCTCCTGGATTTCTCTATGTTTTGGATTATTATGATAATTACAATAGAGGCCATTGAAGCAATTGGGTACAACTCCCTCAGATACAGCAACCAAATATGGATAATATACAGAAGAAACAGCAAGACTTTTGCACTAGCACCACCACACAGTCATGAGGCCATCCACACATTTTAAGGCTTCTAAACAAAAATGTTCGTAAAAGTACAAAACCAGAAATATAAAACCACTAGCACATACATCATAATAAATTATATTTAGGAACTGCATTCTATCAACGTGTAGAAATATTATAAATTCATAAAAAATAATTTTAAAATTTACATTTTCTAACATGAAACAAATTGTCCTGTATGTTTTAGTTAAGTGCTGTAAAGTAATACATATATTTATGTCCTCATTTCTGGATAAAATTAGGTATTAATGCAAATTATATTACCACATAAATACAATTCTTGAATAATATACAGTTCATTGATGTATGTAGTTATTTCTGGGAGATGGATGTTGAAAGACTTCCACTTTTAAAGGTATATCTTTTATAACATTATATTTTTGCATGAAAAAAGTGTCATTTTTGTACATTTAATAAGAAGATTTAAATGGCCTAAAGGGGAACATTATAATTATATTAATAGAGTGGATGTTTTCCTAGCTGTAACTTTTTAATCAGAGTTGGTAAAATGAGAAGTGGGGGAAAGTTGTTGCAGATCATTTACCTAGGTCATTTCTTAGTTTTTCTCTTCTATGTAATTATGTAATATTTTTGTCTTCTATGTAATATTACAAAATATCCTATGTAATTATGGTACATCTGTACACTAGAGGGAATGTTCTTTCTATGCTTAGAACACAGCAAGCTTCTGAAAGCCCAATGCATTATTTACTGCACTCCATAGCCAATGATCTTCAACAAGGAGCCAAGAACATGCAATGGGAAAAGTATAATCTTTTCAACAAATATTTAGATACTGGATATTCACATGCAAAAGAATAAAATGTGCCCTAATAACTTACACAGAAATCAACTCCAACTGGATTAAAGATGTAAATGTAAGAGATGAAATTGCAAAACTCTTAGAAGAAAACAGGGAAAAAGTCTTATGACATTGATTTTGGTAATGACTTTCTGGTTATGATCACAAAAGTACAAGAAACAAAGGCAAAAATAGACAAATGGGGCTACTTCAACACTTCAAACTAAAAAGCTTCTGTACACCATAGAAAGCAATCAACAAAGTGAAAAGGCAACCTACAGAATGGAAGAAAATGTTTGTAAACAAATATTTGGATATTTGTGTTAATATCCAAAATACACTACAAATTTCTGCAACTCAATAACAAAATAACTTGATTTAAAAATTGGCAAAATATTTGAATAGACATTTCTCTGAAGAATACATACAAATAACCAAAAGATATGAAAAAAATGCTCTACATCACTAATTATCAGGGAAATGCAAATCAAAACCACAGTAAGATTACACTTTTCATGTGTTATAATGGCTACTGTTTTAAAAAGATACCAAGTTTTAATGAGGATGAGGAGAAATTGGAATCCTTATACACTGTTGATAGGAATGACAAATTGTACAGCTGCTATGGAAAATATTATGCAGTTTCCTAAAAAATTTTAAATAAAATTACTGTGGGATCCAGTAATCCAACTTTTGGGTATATATCCAAAATAATTAAAAAGAAAATATCAAAGAGATATGTACACTCCTGTATATTGTAATATTGTTCACAACAGCCAAGATATGGAAACAGCATGAATATCTATCAATAGAATAAGTGGATAAACAAGATGTTGTATATACCTACAATAAAATATTATTCAGCTTTAAAAATAAAAGAAATCCTGCTATATGCGACAGCATGGATAAACCTGGAGGACCCCATGTTAAGTAATATAAACCAATCTCCAAACCATTCTACAAATACTGCACGATTCCTCTTCCACCAGATATGTAAACTAATCCAACTCAGGGAAACAGAGTAATAGGGCAGTTGGCAGTGCTAGGGCTGAGGGGAAATGGTGGAGGGTTGATCTTCAGTGGCTTTCAAGATTCAGCTATGTAAGATGAGCAAGTTCTAGAGATTTGCTGTACAATCTTGTGCTTGTATTTAACAATAGTGTATTGTGTACCTATGAATTTGTTAAGAAGGTAGATCTCAAGTTAAGTGTTCTTGCCACCACGACAGCAACAACAGAAAGAAAACAGAAAGCCATCTCCACCCATTCCTGGAAAGGTTTTCATATGATTCTGCCTACCTGATGACTGTTCTCATCACCATCCCCAGCTCTTCTTACCAATCTGGTCAGAACTGAGGGGTAAATTTAGATAAATGGGGTAAAACTGCTCTCTAAAAATTAAATTCAAGATATAATAAATAACATGGTTAGTCTTGAAAATAGAAACACATCTTAGAAAATAAAGCCATCAATCTTGTCAGATGTAAGAGAGGCAGAAGACCATTGATTTAGTAATGGCAGTCAGAATTTATAACTTAATTGTTTAAGTCTGAAGGGTGTTTTTTTTTTATTATTGTTTGCTTTTATAAAAGCAGTTAGGTTTCCTCTATTGCAGGACTTTCTCCTTAGTTCAGCTAAAAACCAGGTTCTTGTCACATGACCAGAAAATATTAGGCTTGTGGACATCTAGAAGGGTGAGAAAAAAGGAATTTATTGGGCAAAAATGGAAAAAGGGAAAAACTTTCAGCAGAGTGAGAGGGAAGCCTGTTAACTGGCTTCTGCCTCACCATGCAGGAATGCATGAGGCCAAGCTTCTCTCCTCTGCAAACGGTGTGAACTTCCCTGGCTCCACCCCATTCTCCCAGGGCAAGACCAGTCAGAGGTTCTCTGGGGAGCCCTTTCTGCTTGGCTGTCTCATTCCCCACTCTAAAGAAGTACAAACAAGGATAAGGACAAAGACCAATCTTAACTGCTTCCTGCTTACAAGGGGCACTGTTTTGGGAAAAGAGCAGTCATAGTTCTCTAAGAGGCCTATTTAAGGATCTCAGGCAAAAGGGGCCATTGTCCAAAGCTCCAGTTGCATGACCCTTTGGAACCTGATGGCCTGAAAGTCAGAAGTGACTAACTGGATTATTAGAAAACATGTATCAAAATGAAACAAGGGCGAGGTGAGGACAGCTCAAAGATCCCCAGGCCTTTTACCAGTTTACACAGGGAGAGGGAGGCCAAAGTCCCGATTGGTTAAAAAAAAAAAAAATTTTATCCTTTTGCTGGCATATCATGCTTCTGGGTTCCCTTCCCCTGAGCCCAATCCTAAGCCAACCAGTTTAAGGTTTGGGAAATTAACCCTTTCCAGATTGGAGGCTGCATCGGAGGAGAATGTCCCTTAGTATGGAGACACAATTACCTATCTGTGAAGAGAAGACAGAAGAGGGAAAGGAAAAAAGAAGGTGTTTTTTCAAAGGAGTCCCAGAGGTTCAAGATGCATTCAAAAGGGGTACAGACCGGATGAATGGCTATCCATCTAGAAAGAAGAGAACAGGCATCCCTGGTTCCTTTTTTTTCCCTAACAAATACCTGGGGTATGTGACCGAGGGAAAGTGAGGCACTCCTTTTTCTTTCCTTCCTCCTTGTATCCTCGGTTCCTGGCAACCTCTACAGGGTGCCACCTATGGGTGTTAAAGCAATTTTCACTCATGTTAATGGGTGGGCATATCTGCTCTTACTCACGTACACCCTATCTCACCTGCTGTCAGCAGCCTTGAATTCCCTAGACCTTATTTATGCCATGGATATGAGTGTGGCCTTTATCCGTGAAACGAGAAGCTTGGCTTAATTGGCAGGAATCAGCTATACTCAACTGTGCAATGCCTGTAACTATCATTATCATCTGCCTCTGGATACCTCAGATCCAGTTTTCTTTCCTAGGGCTCTGACCCAAATCTTGGAATTGAGTTTGAGACAAAAAAGTGTCTCAGGGGGATTGCATAGCCTACTTATCATAAGCCAAATGCTACGCTGAAGCTGTGGAATTGAGTCCTCTTCCAATAAGAGAGAGAAAAAGATGTCTTGTGACACAGAGATAACTGGTGGCTATAGTTATTCTTACTAAAATTTGGGTGCATGGTGCTTGACTTTGGTTAGCTCCCTCGGTCTTACTTTCCCAAAAAGGAAACCTCCAGATTATGGCACCCTATTTATTCCCATCATCTGGCAGGATTTGCAGGATAATTTCTCAGAACAAGAATATTGATCCAGATTTTTGCATTACCCAGCCCTCTTGTTCCTTCTGAGCTGCAGCCAGAGTTTGCTGGTTGGTTCACAGGGATAAGCAGGGTTAGTCTAAAGTGTAGGCAAAAACTTAAAAACAACTGAGTTTAAAATTTAATGACACCTGTATAATAAGCTCTGAAACAAAATTTCTCTCTCTCCAGCCCTCATTTTTGCTAATAAAAAGATATCATGATAGGACTGAGTTGTTTGCAAAACAGATTTTAGTCTTGTACTTGGCCTGATTATTTGCATGAAGTGCAGCAAGAATAATTATCTCTACATAGGCCTTTTAGATCGGCTTTGATGGAACACTGTTCCACAGGGAATCTCAGATAAGACCTCCTAAAGCAGAGCCCAGCCGTGGTTTGTATCCTCCCATACCTGAGAGTTGTGTGATCCTCTCCTCTTAAGATCTCAAGAAAAATTTGGAGTTCCTGAGCCTGTTAGAAAGTGACATTCTTTACTGACTATGGGTCAGAAACCCCGTATAGGGTCTGTATAGGCTAAGGTATGAGGTTGTTTTTTCCCCAAGTGGCTTTTGTCAGCTCTGCAAGTTGAGCTTGACTCCCTAAAGGGAAGCATACCCTTCTAGTCATAGCCTTGGTAAAACAACCAGTTTCTCCAATTGTGTCCTGTTACAAAAGAAAAGTAGATTCTTACTGCACTCGTGGCAAACAACTCTATTGCCATAAGTTAAGAATGCTCACATTTAGTTTTCAAATTCTAGAGGAACCAGGCAGACAGAAAAAAACATGATCCAAATTTTTTTCACAGGAATATAACTTACTTAATTATTAAAGGCCATAAATTGTTCAAAATAAGTTTTTTTGACTCTGAAAAACAAAACAGGATCAGTAATGTTCCAAACAAATGTCAAAAAGATTGCTTTGGCTTTCTGAGTTCAGTCCATTTAGATAACTCTTATTTTGCTTGATATTCTTGAACATTTCAGCTCTCATGAGTCCTGTATATTTTTTCTTCATTCCAATGTTATAACCTTCAAAGTTATCAGAAATCCATGTTTGAGAGCACCTGTCAATGTTCTATAGTTTATTATAAACCATCTTTTTAAAAGGATCCAAACAAGAAAACAATTGTCTGTGAATAACAAAATGTCCATGGTAGTTACAGTTAGAAACACAATTGACAAAGAAGTTTGGTTATCTCTGTGGTTTACAATAACTTAACATAACAACCTTAATTATGATTGATAGCACATACTCAGACATTAGAATTTTGGAAATCCCATAAAATTTTAGAACATATATTAATATTATTCACTATATTAATATTATTCACCAAAATAAAGCCTAAAGAATATTGAACACCATTTTGGCAACCCCATGTACCTAAACATGTTATATAATTCTGTTTACCTCTCTTTTCTGGATTCTCCAGGGGCCCTCCTGAAGTATCTGAAAAGCCAGGTGTGAGCAAAGACAATTTTGAAACTGAAGTTTGATATTTGGAAGCCTGTTAAATATGGTAGAGTTGTGAAACACTTGGTGCTATGAAATAAAATTCCAGATTACCGTAAGTTATTTCTTTTGCCAAAACAATGACTAAGAAAAATTTAAAAAGCAAAAAAACCCTTTTAAACCCTTTACAAATTTTTCTAAAGAGCAGATTAGTGCCTTAAGAGTACCTTGTGCTTTTATTTTAATGCTCAATTTACAGAAAAAACATATAATACCCTTTTGAATTTAGTCAATATTTTCACACACAGAATATTTGCAAGATTAGTTTTTACAATCCTTCCACCACTTGTTTGAACTTTTAGCTTTATCTTATCTAATTTAAAATATTTTTTAAACCCTAGGCAAGTATTTACACTTTTCTTTTTTTAGATGAAGTCTCGCTGTGTCACCCAGGCTTGAGTGCAGTGGTGCGCTCCCAGCTCACCGAAACCTCCACCTCCCAGGTTCAAGCAATTCTCCTGCCTCAGCCTCTGGAGTAGCTGGGACTATAGGCGCGTGCCACCATGCCTAGCTAATTTATTTTATTTTATTTTTAGTAGAGATGGGGTTTCACCGTGTGAGCCATGATGGTCTCAATCTCCTGACCTTGTCATCCACCCTCCCTGGTGTCCCAAAGTGCTGGGATTACAGGCGTAAGTGACCGTGCCCGGCCAGTATTCACATTTTTATGCCTTCTGATAATCTTTTATTAAAAACACATTTTACTGACCTTACACACCTCACATGTAAATCTATTTCCAGGAGTCTCAATTGCATGTCCTAATGGTTACTTTTAGCAGTTTTTAACTTTAATGTAAACCCTAGTAAGTGTTTTGATTGTGTGCTAGGTGCAGCCAAAGTTTGACTCCTTGCAGCATAATTAAGGTTGTGGTTAATTTCATATGTCCCCCGGCCTTACCAAGTTGAACAGTTCTCAAAAACCAAAAAGCAGTTTATAACCTCAAAACACTTAAAAACCTTGCATCTGACCTGCAAAAATTAGTCCACCTATTTATATTTTGATGACACCTGCGTTTTACCAATAATCTTTAAGGCTGTTTTTATTTCTCAAGGATTAAAGTCACATGAATTGAAAGGTACCACAGCTTTTATATTCCCCTTAAAAAATATTTGATCCAAGCACTTGTCTTCCTTTATGCCAAATTAATTAGGGCTCTTTTTATAGACATCACATACACAACACATATACAACTACACAGACAGGCAGAAGAATTTAATCTAATTTAAAACATTTAAAACAGTTGCCATAAGATGTTTGATCATGGGGAGAGGGCTCTATCTGCTTTTAATTTTGGGGGTTCCATGAGGAAACCAAAGGTCTCTCCACTCTCATGTGTGCAGTAAAATTGGCAAGGAAAAATTGAGAAAAATAATACCGTTGACTGAAAAAAATCCTTTTTCCAGCAAAACAAGGTCCAATAAAAAGAAAACATAGAGGCTTTTTACATCTAACTATAACTTGGATATCTACTTCTAATTAAGCTGAGAGCTTCTTAAGAAAATCCTTTTATCTCCCTTATTACCCAACAAGTTGTCAATATTTCTGCCTGTTCATGAAGGGGAAGGAAATCAACAAATAGCAAAAGGTCATGCAGATATCAGACCAGATAGGACTGATTTTCTAAGCCAGAACTGAATCCTGGATGCACAGAAGCTGACAGGGTTTAGCTGTGTCCCTATCCAAATCTCAATTTGAATTGTATCTCCCAGAATTGCCATGTGTTGTGACAGGGACCCAGGGGGAGGTAATTGAATCATGGGGCCGATCTTTCCAGTGCTATTCTTGTGATAGTGAATAAGTCTCATGAGATCTGATGGGTTTATCAAGGGTTTCCGCTTTTGCCTCTCCTTCATTTTTCTCTTGCCACTGCCATGTAAGAAGTGCCTTTCACCTCCCACCATGATTCTGAAGCCTCCCTAGCCATGTGGAACTGTAAGTCCGTTAAATCTCTTTTTCTTCCCAGTCTCAGGTATGTCTTTATCAGCAGCCTGTAAACAGACTAATACAGACGCTAAACAAAGCGCTGCAACGGGGTTACAGGCCACGCCCCCAGGATGTAAAACAAGATGGAGGCCTGCAGCAAAGTTTGCTATGGACCATACAGAAAGACATGCAAAGCACAGGAGGTTGGCTACACCTTGAGACCAGCTTCACAAATCCTTTTTCACAATTAAAATTAAAACTCTACAGAGAATATGAACCATGGTCCCAATCATTCTTGGCCCACCAAAATGTCTTCCAAAGGAAAAAACTCATTTAAAAGTTACCGGCTGACAGGGTAGAGATAAAGATGCCCTGGGATGAACTTCTTATTCTTATGCAAGTGGTTCCTTTACCAGGAAGAAAAGCTTAATTGCTCTGGGATGGAGCTGAATTCCCAGGACTGGGGAGAGGGAGACCCCCAAGTGTGTGGTGGGAAACACCAGATAGTTGCAGGGGCCCTTGTGTCATGTGTCCCAGCCCTGGCAGGGAGGGGAGGGTGGTGGAGAGCCACTGCTCACCCATCTCCCGAAAAAGGAAGGAAACAGCCATGGAAAGACTTGGTTGGACTGAGGTCAACATTCATGACCCCCAGGAGCAATGGAAGGTGGCAGCATAGTTTACCCTCAGAAGAAGTCCGAGGGAAAAGAGGCTTAGAAGCAAAAGAGAAAAAGATTTTTTTGGTTTGCGTCTCACTAACCCTTTCTCAAGTCCCATGTGGGGTGCCAAAATGTTTCAGGACTTTCTCCTTAGTTCAGTTAAAAACCAGGTTCTTGTCAGATGACGTGGAAAGATTAGGTTCATGGACACATAGAAGGGTGAGAAAAATGGAATTTATTGGGCAAAAATGAAAAAGGAGAAAAATTTTGCTAAAAGTGACAGGGAAGCCTGTTAACCAGCTCTCACCCCACCACATAGGAACTCAAAAGGCTGGGCTCCTCCCCTCTGCAAATGGTGTGAACTTCCATAGCTTTTCCCAGTGCACAGGCCAGTTGGAGGTTCTCTGGGGAGACCTTTTTACTTGGCTGTCTCACCTTTCTTTTCCACATTTTGTCTCTAATTCCCAGTTATTTTTAATTGCCAGTATTAGTAACTCTAACATAAATTTGTACGGCTATCATCACCTTTTGTTGTCTCTCTCTAGGAATAGTTATGATGATTTTACCTACGCTTACAGAACACTTACCAATAATAATCATTTTTATTGTTCTTTTGGTTTTGACTTGGTCCTCTTGGAAGATAACAAAATAGATTTAGAACCAAGAGGTTGATTGGGAATGAGACCTTTTGATAGTTAAACATTATTGTGGATAATTGTCTGTGATGGTGTTTTATTCAGGATGATATCAACATGGTAAATTTTGAATAAAGAAGATTGACTTCCAAAATATCAGTGGACCTCATCGAATCAGCTGAAGGCTTTAATAGAACACAGACTGACCTCCCCTGAGAAGAAGGAATTCGGCCAGCAGTGAGCCTTTGGATTTGAACTGAGGCATGGGCTCTCAGTTATCCAGACTGCCAGTCCGTACTGCAGATTTTGGGCTTGCTGGCCTCCATAATCATGTGAATCAATTCTTTAAAAAACCCTACACCCCTCCCCCTGCCAAATTCTCCCTTTTCCACTGTCCACTCTGAATTCCACTCAACTTATCCTATTACTTCTACTTGTGTCAGTTGGTATGTGTCAGTCATATGGTAAATACCATATGATATGACCCAAAGTTATATTTCTGAGGCATCTGTAACCCTGGAACACATGATTTTATCTGACTAGATTTCTTGCACTTGTGCATCTACAGTCACAGCCATGACAGGGAGTACCAAGAATACCCATTGTTTTCCTCCCTACTGCCATATGCAGCAGTAGCCCTACTTCTTTCTGCATTCAGGGCTAATTACTTCTTACATGATTGTGACCTTTCTTTCAGCAGCCAGAGCTTGTTGCACAATGAAATCCTGGTTATATTCCCTGATAACAGCTTACCACCTTCTGGTGACCAGGACATGTAACCCTGCAGAACCCAGAACTGTGAAGATGGAAAGCACGAAGTCTCCCATTGGCACATTGTTAATGATGATAATTGGGACCACCCCAGCTTTCACATGTTAGTTCTACTACCTGTGCCTTCTTCCCACTGGGGACACAATGCCATAGAGACAATGGCACTCCATTCTTGCTAATGCTTCAGCTGTACCTTCAGAAGATTATTCCAATTCTCTACCAGACTACAGTTTCTAAATAGTGAAATATGTGATACAAAAAATGTCCCACGGTAATGGGCCCACTCCCACACATCCTTCACTATGAACTGAGTCTTTGGTCAGATGTTATGTGGATTCTAATACCTATAGTTCAGTTACCCCTTAAGATCCAGATAATGGTTTTGGCTCAAGCTTTGCAGGCAGAAATGTTAAACCCATTTTATAAATAAGCATATATTTTTAATAAACCTGTGAACCTATCAGGATACAAGATATCCAATATAACAAGCTTGCTACCAAATAGACTGTTGGTCTTTTAGTAAGAGCTAAATATTAGAGGGTCAGTTTTAATCTCTGCTACTGTTAGATTAGAAATCCAGAATTAGAAGCTTTTATGTCAAACTTGGTAAATGAGAGTCTGTGTTTTTGAGCCCATCTGAAGCCTCCACATAGCCAATGTGACCAGCTCTGCTACACTGAGAGTTGAGAAGGTAATCAATAGAACATGACATTACTAGGCAAAATAGATGGACAGCTAATAAGAGTGCTGATGGAAAGAAGGTAAAGAGGTAAACAAGAATCAGAAAGATTTCTAAATCCCAGACCTTGGTTAGTTTGGAATCTTATTACCTATTCAAAGAAGAGGTGGCCAAGACCTCAAGAGGAAGAATTCAATTATTTCCCAAAAAGACTCAAAGTCATTTTTCAGATCGCTGTACTCTTAACATTTTGAGGATGATTAGGTGCAGGATTGGAATTGGAGATACAGACGTGATATGTCCTGTTAAAGTGGGAGCCAGAAGTCTAAAATCAGTTTGACTGAGAAAGTGTTGGTGGGCTGGTTCTTTCAGGAAGCTCTAGGAATAGAATCTTTTTTTCCTGCCTTTTCTTGTTTCTAGATGCTGCTTGAACTCCTTGGCTCATGTTTCTTTTCTCAAATTAGCCCAACTTCTTGCTTCTGTCATTAAATCTGGTACTTTCATCAAATCTCTCTTTGTATGGTTCCTGTCAGGACACTGTGACTACATTTAGGGTCCACACTGTTTATTCAACTCTATGAGAGATTACATAATTCAAATGTAATCTCTCAACCTGAAGATATTTAACTTAATCACATATGAAAAGTCACATTTGCCACAGAAGGTAATATTCATGGGTTCTATGGATTAGAGGATGACTGTATTTGGGTGCCATTATTCAGCCTACCACAGAATTATTACTTCCCAGGATCCATAGAGTACATCCCCATGACATAGGAATTGACAATTTCACAAAGCACAAAATGTGCAACTTTAAAGGAAATTTTGATACATAGCATTATCTTAAAACGATATGTCCATTTAAGGACATCAACAATAGGTTAGATAAATAAATTGGGATATATTGAAGCAATGTAAAATATACAGCAATTAAGGTAACAATCTGAAACAATAGAAAAGAATAGGGGAATAGGATGAATCTCAAAAACATAATATTCAACAAAAATGCCAAACATGTAAGATTAAATTCAAAAAGGCTATATTTACCTATTGCTCGAAAATAGTCAAAATAATCTACTGAATTAAAAATCAGCAGTAATTTCTAAAGAGTCCACCAAAAAAAACCTTCACAAATGATTGCACCTAATAAACAAAATTTAGCAAAGATAGAATGTACAAAATCAACACATAAAATTCAGTTGTATGTTTAAACTGTAACAATAAAACAATTTGAAAATAACATCGAGAACACAATTCCTTTTTCAATTACATCCAAAAGAGCGAAATTTCTAGGAATAAACTTGACCAAGGATGTGCAAAACTGTTACACTGAAAATTGCAAAACAACTTTGAAAAGAATTAATGATCCAAATAAGTGGAAAGGCAACATATATTTATGAGTTAGAAGATTTATTATTAAGATGGCAATGCTACTTAAAGTGGCCTACAGGGTTACTGAAATTCCAATCAAAATCTCAATAAGTTTTTTCTCTTTGCAGAAATGAAAGAGTCAATCCTCAGATTCACATGAAATTGCAAGAAGACCCAAATAGCTAAAGAAATACTGAACAAGAAGAACAAAGCTAGAGGACATATTCTTTCTAATATCAACATTTTTATTCCAAAGCTACAGAAATTCAAACAGCGTGGCACTTGAACAAGGATGGATGTACTGTATAGATCAATGGAATAGAATTAAAAGTTCAGAAATATACCCATACATAAATGGCCAATAGATTCTAGCAAATATGCCATGAGAATTCAATGGGGAAAAGATAGTTTCTTCAAAAAATGGTGATGGGACAAACAACTAGATAACCATATATAAAAAATATAGATATGTGCCCACACACAATATACAAAATTAACTCAAAATAGACTGGTAACTTAATATAGAATCAAATTATAAAACATTTAAAAGAAAACATACAAGTAAACTTTTATGACCTTTGATTTGGTACAAGATTTTCTGACATGACATCAAAAGTACAAACAAAAAAAATCACTGAAAAATTGGACTTCATCAAATTTAAAAACTTTGTGAATTAAAGAACATTACCAAGAAAGAGAACATAGAGCCTACAAAATGGGGAAAATATTTTCATATTATATATCTGATGAGAGACTAGTATCTAGATATATAAAGAACTAGATATATCTAGATACTAGATATATCTAGATACTAGATATATCTAGATAGATCTAGATATAAAGATCTAGATCTATCTAGATATATAAACAACTATACACAAACAACTTAATTAAAAATAGACAAAAGACTTAAATATAAATTTCTCCAAGAAACATATGCAAAGGGCAAACAAGCAAATAAAATGATACTCAATGTCATTAGTCATTAGGGAAGTGCAAATCAAAACTACAATAACTTAGCACTTTATACTCTTTAGGATAGCAATAACAACAACAACAAAACTACAGAAAATAAGTGTTGGTTAGTGTGTGGAACTTTAAACACTTGTGCATTGTTGGTAGAAATGTAAAATAATGCAATTACTGTGGAAAATAGTTTGACAGTTTTCCAAAAAGTTAAATATAGATTTACCATATCACCCAGCAGTTCTATTCATGGGTATATACCCAAAAGAACTAGTTACAGAGATTCAAAAAATACTTGCACACAAATGTTCATGGCAGCACCATACCCAATAGCCAAAAGATGGGAGCAACCTAAATAGCCATCAACAAATAGATAACAATCACAAATAAATAGATAACTACAACAAATAAATAGATGTGGCATACAGATATATACAGTCTACCCTTGAACAACATGTTTGAACTCCAAGAGCCACTAACGTGCAGCTATTCTACTGCCTCTGTCACCCATGCAACAAGACCAACCTCTCCTTTTCCTACTCCTACTCAACCTACTCAATGTGAAGATGAGAATAAAGACCTTTATAATAATCCACTTCTATTTAATGAATAGTAAATATATTTTCTCCTTCTTATGATTGCCTTAATAGCTCATCTTGTTTCTAGCTTATTTTATTGTAAGAATACAGTTGTATAATACATACAATATACAAAGTATGTGTTAATCATCTGTTTATGTTAACAGTAAGGTTTTCAGTCAACAGTAGTTCATTAGTTGTTAATTTGGTGGGGAGTCAAAAGATACATGCAGATTTTTGACCGCACAGGGGGTCAGTGCCCCAACCCCTATGTTGTTCAAGAGTCAACTGTATATATAATAGAATATTATTCAGATATGAAAAGGGAAGACTGCCGCACTGATAAATACTACAACATGGATGAACCTCAAAAGCTTCATGCTAAGTGAAAGAAGATAGACACGAAAGGTCACATAGTGTGTGAGTCCATGGGAAATAACCAGAATAGATAAATCTACAAAGAGAGAAAACAGCTTGGAAATATCCAGAATAGATAAATCCACAGAGAGAGAAAACAGAGAGAAATACCCAGAATAGATAAATCCACAGAGAGAGAAAACAGCTTGGAAATATCCAGAATAGATAAATCCACACAGAGAGAAAACAGAGAAATACCCAGAATAGATAAATACACAGAGAGAGAAAACAGCTTGGAAATATCCAGAATAGATAAATCCACACAGAGAGAAAACAGAGAGAAATACCCAGAATAGATAAATCCACAGAGAGAGAAAACAGCTTGGAAATATCCAGAATAGATAAATCCACAGACAGAGAAAACAGAGAGAAATATCCAGAATAGATAAATCCACAGAGAGAGAAAACAACTTGGAAATATCCAGAATAGATAAATCCACAGTGAGAGAAAACAGTCCCAGTAGTTATCAGGGACTGGAGAGAGGGAAGAATGAGAAGTGACTACTTCATGGATACAAGGTTTTCTCTGGGGGTGATGAAAATATTTTGACATCTGATAAAGGTGGTGGTAGTACAGCACTGTGAATGTACCAATTGCCACTGAATTGTGCATTTTAAAGTGATTGATTTTATGTGGAACAAATTTCACTTTAATTATAAAAAGTGAATAAACTTTTAGAAGCTAACCTTGGAAGAAGGTAGAGACTGGAAGGGATCACAAGAAAGGCTTCTGGGATGTTGGTAAGTACTCTGTTTCTAAAATTGGTTACTGGTTTTTAGAAAAATCAATTTGTAAAATTCTTCAAGTTCTATGCTAATGATATGTGCACTTTTCTATGTAAGTGTTTACCTAAATAAAATAAAATGCTCACTTTTACAAAAAGAAAATATTCTGAAGTATGTACAGCCATTTTCATTTAAGCAGCATTGTACAGTATACTACAATCAGTAACTGTGGCACATATGCTGTTGAGCCCTGAAATTGTTACGGCAAATCCTAAACTCTTCCCATCGCATTATGCCCTAGAGCTCACAACAGATCCCTGAGACTACTTTATCATCCACAAATTTTATACTGAGCATTTTTCTCAGCCTGACACTAAAAACCAAGACAGTTTTTGTTCTTGCAGTTTGCACATTACTAATAACCGTTGCTTATGAAAAAATTGCATTAACCAACTCATGTCCAAGTGTTGGCTGATGTCAAATATTATGGATGTTAAAAAGAAAGAACAGGATACCAACTGATCTTAAGACAATATAAAATGAACTCAGATATTGATTAATGTATTAAATTGCTAATTAGTCTTCTATCCACTGTTTCTGCAGAGCTAGAAAACGTTAAATTTTCTCTCCCTAATGGATTATCACCTTGTCTTGTCTCCAAATGCCTTACAATTATTTTTTGGGTAGCTCAATTATTCTATTATTTTTGTTTGACTTAGAAAACAGAACTAAGCAATATAGCTAATTTAAAATCTAAACATGAAAGGTATGTCTTACAAAATACACTGCCACTCTCCCAATTGAGCACCTTGCTTTCTCATTAATGCAGTTGTTTAGATGGGTGTGCTATCGGATTAGCAGGACCCTCTTTGTTTCCCTTTGTGTTGATTTTCACAACACCATCTTAGTTGGTAATTTCCCATTTTTCCCTGAGGCTGCTCAGCAAAAAAGAAAAGCTGACAACTTTCTTGAAATATTTGTATAAATCCATCTATTTTTTCATTGCATCTGTCACCTATTTGCCTGAAGGTATGCAATCACAGCTCTCTTAAAATGTTATGCCTTAGGCCAGCATACTTGTGTGGTGATCAGTGGGGTGTCTCCCAAGAGAGATGGTCACCTAGTTTCTAATTTGTGCTCCTATACAATCAGCCTGTGGGACACAAAGATACACATTCACACACAGTTGATTATATAAGTATATAAATATTTATGTTTCTGTGATTGTGGAATCTATCTATCTATCTATCTATCTATCTATCTATCTATCTATCTATCCATCCATCCATCATCTCTTTTGGAAATCTTGTACTTTTTATGTGGTATGGATGCCCGTGCTATGCTACGGTGTTTTTACATACTACTCACCTGTTACCCACAAATAGTAGGCATGAAGAAAAAACATCAACTATTACCAGGTGGATTTTAAATGCCATGTCTATGTGATGATTAAAACAATTCACATTTAGCACTGTTTGAGTAGTATGGCAACAAGATTGCTTATACAGGTCAATTTTACTTACTTATATATTAATAAAAACTATTAATACTATATGCTAGTGTCTGTAACATTAGATTTTCAAGAACTCAACAATCAAAGTCTCTGAAGACAGAGAGTTTTATTCCCTCTCTTTTATTTTCCACTGTATTCCAAAAGTTTGGAACAGTGCTTGGCAGGTAGTAGGGACTCAATAATATTTGTTTAATATGTAAACAAATCCACACATAATTAAAGTTAAGTGTGAATAATTTTTTAAGTTACATGTTTATCTGTATAAACTACTACACAAAAATACAAATCAATGAATTAAATATAATACTGATGTGAACTGTAATTAATACGTACACATCATTAGTATTTAAATATAAAATTGAGAGACTATGTACAAGTACCACTATTCTTTAGTACCCCTGGTCTCTTTACTAACACTTAGAACAGTATCTGAAGATTTTTAACGCTCAGCAAATAGATTCTGCAAGACCTGCTACAGCCAAACAAATTATATCCATCTTTATTTCACTAAGCCCACACAAATGTTCTTGGCTCCTTCAGTCTGAAAGATGAAACCTGGTGTGGCAATGCAGGACATCAGATTTGTTTCACCGATGTAATTTTGGGAGATGAAGAGGAATCAAGAAAAAGAAACCAAATTATATCCTAGTTTAAGAAAACTATACATTGAAAATGCTCTCCCATTTTTTATAGCTCCTAATAAAGCTATGGCCAAATTCCGAAGCTATAAAATAAAATAGATATGTTTTATTTTATTCTTTTATTGCATCTTCAGATTTTTCAATAGAGTGAGTCTCATATCTATATTGAATTTTATTAATGGAAACCAAACACATTTGAAATGCACTATCTCTGAATGGCTCGCTCCATTCATTCAGCCATATTAACTGAAGATAACACCAAGAACAGCATTATCCACAATAGATTTACTCTCAGTTCAATTTAATAAAAGAGTTACAAAACTTTAAACATACTCATGGATCATCCCTGCTAGAAGTTACAATACTTTGGGGGAAAAATTGATACAAGATAAATATTTGTCATAGTTCATCTCTAAAAAGTTACAACATTTTAGGAAAAATAACACACTGAGTACTTTAAAAATTACAGAAAAATCTAAAAATACAGCAAGAAAGTATTAACTTGAATATAATTAAATGCTAAAGTATATATCATAAACAATAAATTCTAAGACTAGCTAGGAGAAAGATAAATGCTACCTTGTATTGCAGGAGGAAGCTTCTTGAAAGTGGTAGAAAACTATAATGAGCATTTAAGAAGTTGAAAAACTGAGATGGAGCTGTAAATCCTAAAGGCCTGCAAAGATAAAATAAGTATTTTAGCTGTGAGAAATCATCGCTCTTAAAGTACAAACTTTTTGGAATCCCATTGTTACAGGAAAGAGGTCCAGATTCAGACCTCCGAGAGAGGGTTCTTGGAACTCATACAAGAAAGAATTCAGAGCGAGTCCATAGAGTAAAGTGAAAGCAAGTTTATTAAGAAAGTAAAGGAATAAAAGAATGACTACTTCATAGACAGAGCAGAGCCGGGGGCTGCTGGTTGCCCATGTTTATGGTTATTTCTTGATATGCTAAATAAGAGGTGGATTATTCATGCCTCCCCTTTTTAGACCGTGCAGCATAACTGTCTGACATTGGCATGCCATTTGTAAACTGTCAAAGTGATGGTTGGGAGTGTAGCAGTGAGGACAACCAGAGGTCACTCTCATCACCATCTTGGTTTGGGTGAGTTTTAGCTGGCTTCTTTACTGCAAACTGTTTTATCAGCAAGGTCTTTATTACCTGTTCTTGTGCCAACCTCCTATCTCATCCTATGACTTACACTGCCTTAACCACCTGAGAATGCAGCCCAGTAGGTCTTAGCCTCATTTTACACAGCCCCTATTCAAGATGGAGTTGCTCTGGTTCAAGCAACTCTGACATTATTAAAGCATCAAGTATTTAGCGCTCCCTGGGATGACTTCTCTGCACTGTGCTGTAGAACTCAAAATATAGGTAGGTAGAAGGGGAACAACAGTAATAGTTGTAGGCTATAACCTCTGGATCTAACCAGGGATTCTCTTAAACTCTTTCAAAACAAACTAATGAAGAGTTTTATGTTAGTGATGACTTAGTCCATTTTTTGTTGCTATAACAGAATACTTATGATTCGGTAATTTACAAAGAATAGAGGTGGATTTCTTACAGTTTTGGATTCTGGGAAGTCCAAAGTCCAGGGCACTGCTTCTGGCAAGGGACTTCTTTCAGTGTCATCCATGGCAGAAGACAGAAGGGCAAGAAAGTACATTAGAGAGAGCAGTATAATTGAACTTGAACTCACTTTCATGACAAACCCACTCTCAAAATAAGGAACACACTCCCTCAATAACAACTTTAATCCATTCATGAAGGAAGCGCCCTCATGACCTAATCTCCTTTGAAAGTCCCACCTCTCAATACTGTTGCACTGGGGATTAAGTTTCCAACACATGCTTTTTGGCGGGCACATTCAAACAATAGCAGCAGTGTGTTCATAAAGCTATATATGCATCTCACATATTTTATGTATTTGAAGATCTCTGAAAATGCTGACTTTAAAGACCACGCTATAGATAACATCCATATTAAGAGGCAAAAATCAGGAATCATACAAATTAACATTCTGTATATAATTACAATACGTTGGAGTAGATGCTGATTTATCTATAGAATTTTTGAATTTGATTCCCTGTGATTAAATCAAAGATTGTGAAATTTAAGCATGCTTGTATAGTTAAAATTTAGTTCCATATTTACAGTTATCACTGAGCAAAAGTTATGTCAAATCTATCAGCAAAAATTTTGGAAAGTTTCTTATTTTAATAATTCAAGTATTTGTGAAATTTTCTTCCTTCCTTCATCAACCATTCCTAGAACATACTAATACAATTACTTACTGTTCTACTGATAATAAGATATAAACTTGCTTTTCTTCTAAAGAGTATTTACTCAAAAAAGCAATCGACAACATTAAAGGTAATATTTAACAGCGGTCACTTATTATCTGACTATTGTAACAATCACTGTTTGATTGCAAATTGTGTAGTCAGCATGTACGTGTTTTGCCTTGAAAAATTCCCTTTTTTCTCCCATTTTAAAAACTACTAATGATAAGCATTTTAAATATGCTCAGCAGGATTTATAGCAATCAGTGTAACTATGATGACTTAGCTAAATGTATTTTTCTAGATTAAAGTGTAGCATTATTGAATTTTAATTTGTCTCTGTTTCTGATTTGTAATATAATTCTATATATATTTTAAAAATTACCTTATCACAGGTTGATTTCTCTAAGAAGTACATGCTGAAATGAAGATAAGAGTACAAAATATTTATCGGAGAGTAGTAACACAGAGGAGACACAGGATTTGGCAGAAACACTAAACCATGGTGAAGACCGGCTAAAGTCTCTTTGTCCAAAGGGGAGCTCTAAAGTAAATATGAGCCATTAAGGGAGCCCCACACTGGATGGAAATGGCCAAGCCTTTTTACAACCACCTTCTCCTTGAGACACTGCCTGCAA
Source organism: Homo sapiens (assembly GCF_000001405.40). Taxonomy (NCBI): domain Eukaryota; kingdom Metazoa; phylum Chordata; class Mammalia; order Primates; family Hominidae; genus Homo; species Homo sapiens. The sequence goes on along the minus strand of NC_000007.14, from coordinate 145,676,049 downwards.
TTCACCCTGGGAAAGCAAAACCTCAACTGTTTCTGCCTCATTCATTCTTTGTCAGTGCCGTAAGAAGATTGAGATTTCAGCTTGTAACTGTTGAAGCAAAACCTAAAGTGGTTAATAATGGGAGTTTGTCACAACTATCTTAACACAAATATAAAATATTTGCATGAACTGTAATAACCTTTTATTTATAAATTAAAAACTTATTGATAAAATACAGATTTCAATAACATTAGTAAAAAATCTTTTCACTTTTCTTAAGTAATTCAGAATAGATCATCTTTCATTTTAGTTCCTACACTTGATCCTTAGAAGAAAAAGAAACCTATTTTTTTTATAATGCAAACACTTTAGTTTAACATAAACAAGAAAAAGGGAAGACTGGCTGAGAAAAAAAAACTCTAAAAACCATCTAGCATATTCAAAAGATAATTCATGCCTTTGAGATCATTTAAGCAGTACATCACCTTTAGTTATAAAGAGAAATGTGAAACTATTTTTACAATTAATTACATCTATCAGCAGGAAATAAAATGTATTCAAAATTGACCTGTATATGAGTGATGGTTGTAACAGAGTTATTGATTTTTCCTGTTGGGAAATGCCATCCAAAACTGGCATGATCTTTTCAAGTAAACTCAAAATCCGAACAATGTCTTCAAAAGTAGGCATGTTGTTAACAATGGTCCCTGCTGTTTTCTATGAATGGGCAGTAATATTCTCTATAACATTAGCCCTTGGAAATTAAAATGTCCTTTGTTGAAAACAGAGAAATCTGTCAAAATGCTATGTTTTTTTATAAGGAACACTGCTAATCCTATAAAACGGCTTCTTCCTCTCACCTAATCACTACAATTATGCCTCTAAACTAACAGAAAGATACCAAATCTAATCTCTGACAAAGTATCACAGTGACTAAAAAGGGAATTAATGTACTTGCAAGGGAGTAGAGAGAATATACTGTATTTTGGACATTGCGCATGCTAAATTCTGTCTTAAAGTAATTTAAGAAATAAAATTTATGAAAATTCTTCTGGGAATAAATATTACACAGTAGCCTTCAAAGAGAAATTCCTTGCTGTGAGTCATAGGCATATGCAAAGGACTATTTGAAACTGCCTTAAATGAATCTTATTTAGGGAAAATTACAGACTAGAAGAAAATACGAGTTCAGAATTTGGACGAAGCTTGGAGAACAAATATTTGTATATAAACAGAGGTTCAAATAATTGCAAATCAGTTATCTCTAGGAATTGTGAAAACTACTCTGAGGAAAAGAGTGCTGGCTTGGGTACTAAGCTCTGCAGTTTTTCCTTGCTCTATTTGTATTTGTTCATGCCAAAATCACACTGTCTAAGCTAGTGAGGCTTTAGAGTAGGTCTTCATATCTGGTATCTTTTTCAAGATTGGCAGGCTTCCATATACATTTTGGAATTAGCTTTTCAATTTCTAAAAGAGACCTGCCAAGATTTTGATCAATACTTTATTGAATTTATAGATAATGTTTGGGAAAGATGATATCTTTACATGTTGTAGGTTTCCAAACCATGAACACAGCATGTCTCACATAGATAATATTATTTTCTTTAATTATTACAGCTGTGTGTGTATGTGTTCTAAACTTAATTTCAGATGTATTTCTTAGCATATGAGTTTTCTTATTATTCTAAATTGTATCTCCAAAGACTGGAAGAAAAATAATTGCAATGACTACTACTAAGAAAGGAGATAGTCTAGGGAATGTATAAAGAACTCTTATAAATGAATAAGAGAAAAGCAGCCATGCCAAAGGAAAAATGGGCAAGGTACTTGAACAGAAAATGATTAAAAGGATATTCACATGGCCAGTAAGTATAGGAAAATGTGTTCAATCTCATTAGTCTTAATGGAAATAAAAATTAAAACCATAAATAGATACCACTACATATTTGCCAGGACCAAGATGACACACAATGACAAGTATTTGTAAGGATGTAATGAAAATTCAAATACACTGCTAATCAGTGCAAATTTATATAACAACTTTGGAGAATTACTTGGTCTAATATACTAAAGTTGGACATGTTCATATGGTTTATTAGCATCCCGCTTTCCATTGACAAGGAGGTCAGCAAAAAATCACTAGCTTTTTTTTTTTTTTTTGAGATGGAGTCTTGCTCTGTCCCCCAGGCTGGAGTGCAGTGGTGTGATCTCCACTCACTGCAACCTCCGCCTCCCTGGTTCAAGGGATTCTCCTGCCTCAGCCTCCAGAGTAGCTGTGAATACAGGCCCCCGCCACCATGCCCAGCTAATTTTTTGTATTTTTAGTAGAGACGGGGTTTCACCATGTTAGCCAGGATGGTCTCGATCTCCTGACCTTGTTATCTGCCTGCCTCAGCCTCCCAAAGGGCTGGGATTACAGGCGTGAGCCACCATGCCCGGCCGACTAAACTACTTTTAAAGTACCACCTTTCAGAGTTTATCAGGTGATAAACTCTACATACTCTTTCTCATACATAATTCTGCGTCAGTTAGAATCCAGTCAGGACACATAAACCATACCAGTAACTTACATATGAAAAAATTTAATATAAAAAATATTAATTGGGAACAGAGGAATACCTACTAATGGCTAATTATGAAAGGGCTGAGAGAACGCAAGGAAGAAACAAACAAGGGAAAGAGGCTCCCTTCCCAAGGCTGAGAGGGAATCCTTCTTGGAGAGGGTGAGTGATAGCCCACTGATGCTGGAGACGTTTACTGAGTTGCCAGGACAGAGCTGTTCTGCAGCCCTGGGGCCAAGAATGACAAGTAGAAAACCAATGAGATAGTAAAGATGGTACCCTGGGTTGTACCTTGCTAGAGCTGGCTCACAGCTAGCAGATAATGCGAGATAAGCAGGAAGCTTCTACCTGGTTGCTGACAGGCTAAGGCTGCTCAGAAGGAAACCATAGGGCAAAATTGTTTGACACATTTTTTTAAAACATACAACTTTAGAAAAGGATGAGAGTGGAAGTGGATGAGGACTCAAATACACAAATGATGTATCCTTGATGGAGTAAAATATGAATTAATATTTAAATAAAGAATTTATACAAGCTGTGTTCAATTTGAAAAACCCCAAGGAAGTCTCCTAACGAATGTGAATAAAACCATTGCACTTAGAAGGGAAGTTCAATTGTGTCCCACAGAATGTAGGGTCCCTGAAGAATTAAGTCTTAATTTTTGCTTCATGCTCATCTCTAACTCCTTATTCACTGGGATTTAGACACAATGACCTCTTTCCTATTTCATAACCATGCCAAGAGTTTTTGCGGTTGCTATTCTTCTGCTGGAAGATCTTTCTCTCAGAAACTTATATGGCTTCCTTCTTCACCTCCTGTTGATACAGACACAAACTTCTCTCTGAGCCCTTTCCTAACCACTGTATCTAAAATTGAGTACCCTCTCTATTCCCTTCTCCCTTTTCCCTCTTTTCTTTATTCCCATAAGTACTGATTACCATCTGGCATGCTTTGTGCTTTTCTAATGCATCTTGTTTAATGCATCTTGTTTCCCCACAAAAAGTAAGGGTTACCTTGTCTCTTCTCATCTCTTGAAAGTTGGCCTACCAGAAAAGCAATAGGCTGTTTTTTCCCAAGTGCTTAGAGCAATCAAACCTGCTAAATAGTAAGTCTTGAATTGCAGCCCACAATTGTATCACACATGGGGTTGTTGGCCATCTCTCTTTGAAATCATTGGCACTGATTTAGAAGGAGAGGGTTGAAGTAAAACCAATGGTATGTCAAATTGCTCTCCTATTCTGGCCCCTGAGCAGTCTATGGAGGTGTGCACATAGTTTGAAATACCCACAATTAAGAGTCTGGTGTTCACCTTGGCCAGATCTTTTCCCTACCCTACTGTAAAAATGGTCAAGAGGGCACCTAAGTAACCACTAATGATCCTTGCCCTATAGGTCTGGTATACGTACTGTTTGGCTATTTTTTTTCTTTCTTTGTGGAATAACTTATTAGAATGAATTAATGGGTTTTTACAACTTTTTATTCAGTGTTGTATCCCTAGAACCTAGGAAAATGCCTGTAGACAGAAAGGCTCAATAAAAAATTGTGACTGCATTCATATAGCCTGTAGAGCTCCAGACTATTCATATAGCCTGTAGAGGTCCAGACTATTCATATAGTCTGTAGAGCTCCAGCCCACTGATGGCCACCATAGGACATGGTTAATAATACTTGGTGAATGATGCATTCATCCTAATAGTACTACTAAAATGGCAGAAAAAGGAAGGGTCAAACAGAATAGCGAGGTATAAGTATAAGATAATGCAACAGAAGTCAGGGTGGGATAAATTTTCAAAAGAAAGAAGCAATAAAATCCCCAGAACTATAAAGACAATAATGAGAATAAGGATTAAGAGAATACTGTGGTTTGAGAGGAAAAAAATAAATTACTAGGGTCTTATAAGAAAATTTTTTCGTGTTAGATGTCAACTCTTGCCATGTTTCATGTGACTAAGAAGGAAAAGGCTAGACACAACAAAAATTCAGGAATGTAAAATGGAATTAGCATTTAGCATGCACCTGTTAGATCAGATGTTGTACAGGTGCTTTATATACAATATATCATTTTAATCTTTTCCATATCCTATAACAATTTTATTATTATTCCCATTTTACAGTTGAGAAAACTGAATCTGAAAGATATTGCAAAGGTTTTGAAGTTCATACGTAACAGAACCAAGATTTAAACCCAGATTGGCTAAATACCCACCAGAGGGGATATAAGCAGATCAAAGGAATGCAGGTTTATTTTTAACATAGAGGCTGACTGTGACGATTTGGCTTTACAAAAGAAAGAGTTCATGGGAAAAAATAAAAACAAAGCTTCTAAGAAATGAAATATTTATTGTTATGATAAAAATAATAGTCTAACTAGTAATAGACTAATCTAGATTTTATGGGAAAAGAAATGGCACAAAACAAAGAGTTAATATTTTTTAAGGTCAAGGACACTGTGTCTTCTGAGTGTGTATTTGTCTTTTAGTATTATGTAATCCTAGGTAAAATACTTCATCCTTCTTACATCTCAGTTTCCACATCTATATAAATGAAACCAGTATTTATTTTAGTTATTATAAAGATGAAATAAATTAATACATGTAAAGCATATAAAACAGTAACTGACATCCAGAAAACACTACTTCTGTTTGCTATTGTCAAAATATAGAGACACAGCAAGGACATATTATAAACTATTTTTTTAATTTTTGGCAAAGTTTGTATCATGAAGCTATTTTAGGAATATACTCAGAGAGCTTATCATGATCCACTGTAGATAAGGAAATTGGTGGATTGAAGGATCTTGATATTCTCTAGACCATATTAAAAAAGAAACAAACCTAAACTTCTAAGTATATTCTAGTCTGTTTTAGCATTGTTACCAAGCAATTAAAACAGTACAAATTCCAGTTTCTTACTTAGTACTCCTCTGGCCTTCATTCAAAGCTGCTTAGGTCTCTTCTCCTTTGGCGTGGATCAAAATTACCTTATATTAGTTACCTATTGGTGCATAAC